>NW_017363814.1:300000-420675 GCF_000001405.40 Homo sapiens
CACACAAACTATGAGCACAACTTCAGTAGCCAACTTTTCTCATGAATGTAAAGAACAGTGAAGAGCTCAGTCCGTTTACTTCCTTTCTTGCTCGTCTGACAAAATCCTCCCTTAAACCTTCAGTGGTGAGATGGAGTTGAAATAGCTTTATCTCAAACACATATGTCAGCTACAGAATCCAGGATGTAACAAAAAATAGAGATAGAGTGTTAATAAGCACATACACCAAAAAAAATCTATTTGGTAAAAATGAATGGGAAAAGGAAACAAAAAATTAGATATAAGCATGGAATAATTAAATTGTAGAGCTTTCTTGTGAAAAACCACTTGATTGCCAATGTAATTCAATTGTTTGGTTACATTATGTAATTTTATAGCATTCTCATGACTTATGAGATAAATAGCAGCAGCAGTAGCAGCAGCAGCAAAAATAGAGTATTTCAGAAGTAATATCAGTAGAGTAGAAGTGACTCAGTTGAAAAAATATTGACAGTCTTCACAAGGATAAATAGAGCAGTAGCAACGAACATCAATGTATTTTACAAGAAAAATTCTTCTACTGGCAGATAAAAATCTCTTAGTAACCACCAGCAAATGGGTTCTCAGCAATTTTCTTCTAAAGGGCTTTCAGGACATTTATTACAAAGAGAAGGAATCAGAGGAAAAACCAGAGATTGTCAAGGTAACAACATAAAGTTAAAGGACTTCTGTCAAGGTTCAGTTTATTGGTTTAAATAAACTCATTATGGCCTAGAATCCAACAACGTAAACCTAAAATGTCCTGTCTGCATTAATTTATTCTTTGAATGCAGTCTACGTTGCTTTCAGGGGAAGACTACTGAGTCATTACCAACTTTGTCATCTTTCTCTTTACCAACCTTTTTGACTATGCATTTCTGAGGGACATGTACTGCTAAATAATATTGCAAAGAATAATTATGATAGATGCAGAAGTCACCCTGTAAAAACTCAGTTCATCACAGAAGAAATTCATGAGGATTATGCAGTCAACAGAATAAATGCTGCACACTGGATAACCTTGTATTTGTATATATGTTTACATACATATATACATACTATATGTGTATACATACACATACACTCACATGAAAACACATATGTTGCTTGCTCTCCATATATTCTGAGGCAAACATAAGGAATGCTGGAGGCAGTTTTAGGTCCAGAGTGAAGGTTGGGGATTTGTTAAAAGCCTGTGATGTGGAGGCTCTTCTAGAATTTGTCTTTTAAAATGCATCCCTGGGCTTGTGCCAGGTCCCGTTTTCACATAAACCTACTTCAGGAGGGGTCCTGCTTCCAGGAGGGGCCCTGCTTCCAAGAGGGTTCCCTCCTGCACACAGCTCCCTGTCTGGATCTCCATTCAGCCTCATACCTGCAAGACGGGCAAGAGGGCAAGAAGGAGAAAATCACAGCCAAGATGGAGAAGGTGTGCAAGCACTCAGGGGAGAAGGAAAACTCGAAGCTCTGACAACCCATTTCCAGGCACCAGATGTTAAAAGACTCAGATTATAGAAACATCATGTTCCTTACCTTCACCAGGGCTAAATGTGTCATTCTCTGCTCATCCTGAAAACAATGAATTGATCCTTTTTGGAGGTGGATATTTTAATAGCAAAAAAAAAAAAAAAAAAAAAAACTTGCTTATATAACCACCTCTATATCTACAATACCAGAAAAGACACCTGGATTAAAGTCAAAATTCCCAATGCACTTCTGGAGCACTGTGCTTTCCAGGCTGTGGTGGTGCATTGATATGACAGACAGGTTATGAGCATTTGCAGGGGAGCTTGCTTCTCCTGATGGACAGCAGTTCTACGACTACAAGGATCTCTGTGTCCTGCATCTGGCCACCAAAACCTGGAAACTAGTTGAATCAACAGGGGCTTGTTTAGATCACAGTGGACAGCAGACAGTAGCCTGGAAGACACAGCTAATTCTTTTTGGTGGTTTTCATGAGAGTTGTGTTTTAAACCCATTATTCAATTCTAGGATGGCATTATACAATTGTCTCAAAATCTATCAAGAATATATTTTTAAGGCTTGGATTAATATTTGGGTGTGCATCTATTGGGCTTCAAATAATTACATATACTTGAATTAATATAAATTCTGTTTACTCCTATTTTTTGTTTCCTACATATTTTCTTACATAGAGTCAGGGATTCCTGAAACTACATAGTAAGGTATTGGCAAAAATCTAACCAAACAGATCATGAATATTTATTGAATATAAAGGGCTGTACTTCATGTTCATTTTTACATGTTTACTTGTAATATATTTAGACTCATTTTTTCCCCAAAATTCACAGCTTAAATAGGTGGATTCTCTCACTAATTTCAAAAGAGAATGATTAGACCAGAGAGGTGTTAGTAGGGTCTGTCTATACAAAAGAGTAGTAAGCAGATGAAAAAGAAACAAGGAAGGTCTTCAAAATGTATAAGTGAAAAATATAAGTAAAGTCTCCAAAATGAAATAAGTGAAAAAAAATCAAAGCGCAGAACGGTGTGTATAGTAGGCCACCTTTTCTGTAAACAATGTAAATTGAACACGTTGTTTCTAAACTGTATTTGGAAATGTAAATGGTCAAGAATAGTCAAGGTAATCTTAAGTTAGAACAAAGCTAAAAGAATGTATGATACCATGACCTATGATAAAGCTAAAATAGTTAAGAGAGATGTTGCTAGCACTAAGGTGGATAAATAGGTAAAAGTGAGAATAACCATTTCAGTAAGTGGTGCTGAGTTAATCATAGGGGAAAAAATAACAAAACTTCTTCCCACTAGATTGAAAAAAAGTAAGTATGAAAGGTAAAACAAAACAAAAGTTTTGGAAGAAAACAATAAGAGAACATCTTCATATCCCTAAGATAAGCAAATATTTCTTAAAAGAACACAAAAATCACTAGCTATAAAAGGAAGCAAACTGAGAAACTACTAAGCTCTATTATAATGAAGAACTTCTGTTCCTCAAAAGAAACCATTAAGAATAGAAAAGGCCAGCCACGGAATGGGAGAAAAATATATGCAGTAAATATATCGAAAAAAGGACTTTCAGGCCAAAAATATAAAGAACTCATGCACATCAGTAAGAAAAAGATCCAACAATAACAATGGAAAATGAATAAAGGATTTTCTTCTGTGAAGAATAGACACTTCACAAATTATACGAATAGCAATAAACATGAAAAAAAACCTCATTAGTTATTAAACAAATACAAAGTAAAACCCCAGTGTGATATATCATTACATAAGTACTATTATTTCTATAATAAAAAAGGCATTAAATATCAAACATTAGGGAGAATGTGTAGCAAATGAAATTTTCATACTTCACTGGTGGGAGCGCAATTCTACTCCTTTGTATATACTCAAGAGAAATGCTTACATTTGTTCACCATATTGCAAGTATAAGAATGTTAAAAGAAGCATAGCCTAAAATGGATACCACCAACTATAGAACAGGTTAAAATTATTGTATATTCACATAAAGGCATACTATAAGCCAATGAGAATGAGTGAACTATTGCTATACACAACAGCATAAATGATTCCGGCAAATAATTTTCAGCAAAAGAAACTCGACAGAAACACATACTGTATGATTCCATTCACTGAAAGTTAAAAAAATTGGTATACTAATGCTTGGTGTTAGAAGTCAACAGTGGTTTCTAAAAAGGCAGGGATGGGGGCATGGAGGGGTGGATGGAGGACAGTTACAACAAGATGCAAAGAGGGGGCTTCTGGGTTCCGGTAACGTTTTCTCATTTGCTTTTATGGGTCTGTTGATTTTGCAGAAATCCATTGAGCTATACACTTATTATTTGTGCATTTCTCTGTATGCATTTTATATGTCAATTAAAAAGTTTAACAACAAAAAAAGACAAAGGAATCAAACTGAAGGTGCCTTCACTGATCAAGAATGGGCCAATGAGAACATCAGAAAGGATAGGGTCAGCAATGTATTGAAATACATCAAATTTTTTAAAATCCAGGAATTTATACTCAAATTAGGAAAAAGACATTATTGTTTACCTTTGGAGATAATTAAGACAGCAAGTTACTATTAAAAAAAACTGGTAAAATAAAAACAAATAATCAAGCCTTATCCTGCAATTCCTGTATGAATTATACTTAAGAGTAATCAAATAGTTGTTGTGAGAACATTTTCCTTAGTTGAAGAATTCCAGATAATAAATGCAAAAGGAATAATAGAATTCAAAAGCTACCATTTTTCAACCTCTAAGAAAATAATGGTATGTGTCTGCTGATGCAATAAGAAGCAAATGGCATCACCTAAATGAATCTGAAAACAATCAGCTCTCTGTCTCTAATGCTAGTTTATAGGAAATAGAGGGAATGGAAGAACACAGTAAATGAATCCCAAGGATGTAATCAGCCACATTTAGCATGTGGAAAATCTACCGGACAAATGACTTGGTTTTTTAAAAAAGCCATAGGAGAACAGGTAAGAGGCCTGACTGTTACAGATGGAAACTTAAAGAATATATCGATCAAATCAATTGTGAACTTATTTGGATCTTCATTCAAAGAAACCAACTATAAAAGACATGTTTTGATAATCAAGAAAATTTAACATAGAAAGGATATAAGATATCATTAAAGCATTATTGTTAATGTTTTGTAGTTCTGTGTTTTTAAAGTCATTTTTAGAGATATTCTTGAATTATTTATGGGTGAAATAACATGCTGGATATTTGCTTCAAAAAACTTCAGCAAAGGAAAGAGGTAGTGACACATGAAACAGAATGACCCAATTGTTGATCATCATTGGTCCTCTGTGATGTATACACAGTGGCTCACTTGTGATTATGTTTAAAATAAACTTCATACATAAAAACTTACCCCATCCTTAGCTTCCACCAGGAGATCATAGGTAGCTGGATCCCTTTCCCTGTCGATATCTTGAGAAACACAGATTTGCCCATCATGAGGGTCGATCCGGAATGCCTGAGGTGCTTCATAGCTCAGGAATCCATCATAAAGAGAATATTCAATAAAGCCATAGAGTCCTGAATCTGCATCAGAGGCTGTCACCTGTGAGACAGGAGGGTGATCAGGAGGAAACAGAAATGCTAGCATTACTTTTCAGTCAGTCATGAATTATTAAAACAATTTGCACAACCACATAACCCCCATAGCTATTCACAAAGCCTAGGCTTTGGTTTCATATCTCTCTCCTCGCTTACCTTCTGTGATAATTCCCCCTTCACTTTTCTCCTTTCTTTGTGAGTTCTCCTTTTCAATATCTCTTGCCCACTCCTATCTTTTCAGATGATCTCTGAAAGTTTGAGGTCCCTAAGGACCTTATTTCATTCACTTATAGTCTTCTTATTTCATTCACTATACGTAACTAATCTCATCCAATCTCAAAGATTTAAGAATACCCATAGGATTAAGGACTTGACAGCCAAGCTGTTGATTCCCTCTCATACCTAGGCCTTCAAGTGATAGGCTTGATGCCCCCCACCTTTGAGAGCAGCAAGGGGAGGGCCAAGAAATCAAGACAGTAAATGCCACCATTACTAGAAACCCAATCCCAGTGACAGAATTCACACTGGAATGTGAGAGTTGAGTCTCCCTGGCCAGCTTTCCTTCTGGGAGTAATGTCTCAATCAGGGCCCTGCACAGTGGTGTAGCATTCAGTCTGCAGGTGCCTGTAGGTACATGGGGAATGAAATCCAGCCCATGCTGTGCTCGCCAAAACAGGCACAAACACTGACATGCCCAGAGGAAAAGGCACCGTCTTATTTTGCCATACGTACCACTTATGTTACCAGCAATCCTGTGCCTGATAGAAAAGATGAAGCAAGTGAAATTATGAAAGCACTTAACTTATTTATACTAACTGTGGGAGTATATAGTGAGAAATACAACAGGCTCTATAGAACTCAAAAAATTCTCAAGCTCATAGGCTCATGATAGATAATGCTTTTAATTTACAACCCAACTAACAGTAAGAGCAAACACCTACATAGCACTTACAATAAAAGCAGCACTTTAAGGGAAGACAGAAAGAAAGAGAGGAAAAGAGGAGGAGGGAAGGAAGGAAGGGAGGAAGGAAGGAAAGAAGGAAGGAGGGAGGGAGGGTGGGAAGGAAGGAAGGAAGGAAAGAAGGAAGGAAGGAAGGAAGGAAGGAAGGAAGGAAGGAAGGAAGGTAGGAAGGATTCCGTGCTACAGAACACGTACTCTTATAAGAGCTTAAAGTACATCACATACTTACAACCTATAGGTACTAACGTTCACTCTTCAGATCAGACAAGTCAGGCTCAGAGAGTTTATGTAACGGGCCAAAGGTCACATAACGAATAAGTGTCAAAACTGAAATTCTTATCCATACAATTGGCAGCAGAGGGCATGCTCTAATGACCATGATCTATGTGCTGCCTCCCAAGTCTGACACCTTGTCATATAATCCTTTATTTACAGAAAAATCAGACCCCAAATCTCCTGACCTTCCTCTGATGCAGAATGTGCTAGATTATGTGTAGCACCATTCCAAGTAAATGTTTACCCCAGGTATATGTTGTTTCTCACCATAATATCATTAACATGAAGAAAGGCAACTAGTAGTGGTGCCTGTGCTCTTAAGTCTTAGCTGAACCTTCTATTCCATGTGATCAAATTCCAAATGGGTTCCAGAATGCAGAAATATAAAGTGATGACAATTGGAAATAAAAGAGAATTAAGCAGATTAATTCAGAAAGTCCAACTTCCCACTAATGGACATCACAGAAAAAGAGAAGAGAAAACAGATAAAATGGAAAAAAAAGGAGCAAAGGAGCAGCTATTTCTTTGGTTCACAAGGACACATACATGCAAGGTCCCCAAAGTCACTCTGACAGGGAAGGAGAGAGATGGAAGAGGCATTCTGGCTTTTAACTTCTTTGGCCCAGAAGCCGTGCTCAGCTCACATTCCACTGGGCAGAACCAGTTATATGTCCCCAGCTTAGCTGCAAGGGAGGCTGAGAAAAGGAGAGGAGCATGAGGATATTTGGTGCATACAAATAGTCTTTGTCATACATATCATTTAGTCTAGAATATGTGAAGACAGGCACATAAGATTATGTAGGTCTCCAAGTAGATGTAGTGAAACTTAAGCACGAGGAAAGTTATACCCAGAAATGGCTACCCAGTGCCACTCTACTATAGATTTAGTTTTGGAAAGTAATTCTGGCTGTCTTGCATATATTTGTAAGCCTTTTAGGAGGGAGGCAAAAATAAAAGACAATTTCATCACCTACAATATTTGTGCTCTTATTATACTCATTTAACTCTGGACTGAAAACAAAATAATAAGCTTTTCATCAATATAATATACATGCAGGAGCTACAACTTAATTACAGTACTTCCCAAATAAAGCTTCATCCTGACAACATGTTCAACAAAGTTCTCAATAAACCTTCTCCTTCATCCTGTTCCATCTTGAGCATATAACCAGAATGTGACTTTTGGAGCTATTTTGAAGTAGTCTAGCTTAGTGGTTCTCAACTAGGGACAAGTTTGCCCCCCAAGAAGACATTTAGTATGTCTAGAGACACTTTTGGTTGTCACAACTGGGGAAGGGTTTCTACTTTCATTTAATGGGTTAATTTAATGGGTTAATTCGAGAGATACTGCTGCAATGTATTATATAACATCCTACAATGCATAAGATAGACTTCACAACAAAGAATTATCTGACCCGAAATGTTAGTAGTGCCTAGACTGAGAACCCCTGGGCATGATGAAACTCCTACCAATTGGCAGTGTTATTTTCCTGCTTTAATTGTCTATTTCTTAAACTGATGATACAGCCTTTAAATTTATCTTTTCTCTCATCTATCTCATATTCTGTAGCAAAATTATTCATCCTGTGCAACCATCTAACATATTTATAAGTTCTTCTCATCACTTCTTCTCATATTGTGATTCTTCTCATCAGTTGGGCTGAAGCAGGAAATCCACAAATTTCCCCACTACAAAGAACTAAACTCCAAATACATTTGGTCTATTCTATTCTGACAGCTGTTAATAATTTAGAAGCTTCAAGTTCCTGAAGACACCAAATATATCTTCTAAAGCCATATGGTATTCTCAATAACTTTGGCTTCATTGAAAGACACATACAATGAACTTTTAAATTTTAAAATTCATTCTTAGCCTTTAATAGTACATATTAATAAGTGATTCAGCTTATATAAAACAAATTTCCTTACTTCCACTTTCAAGACCTTTTTCTCATCTGGACTTTTGGCAAAGCAAAATGTAAGGAGACAAAAGTAGGATAAAAGTATTGATCTCAATTTATGTTAGCAATTCATATTCTGAGTTTCAGAATCGTAACATAAGAATGTTTTTCTTCCTGTTGTGACCAAAATACCTAAAAATATTGACCTAGTATTCTCAACAACATATCCCACCTATTGGGTCTTGAATGCCTAGAATTAATATTGGGTCTTGAATGCCTAGAATTAATTTGACATCTTTCTAAGATTTATATTTTCCAATATCCATTGACTGACACATAAAATTTAGGCAAATTGAGTAATAGAAAATGGAAATGGCTTTGTCAAAGCTTCAAGAGGAAATCTTGCTTAGTTAATAAGCTCCATGGGCCCTTTCTCCAAAGATGATTGTTTAAATTGAAGCAAGAGGCACCTGGCCAACTCCATTATCGCAATCTTATGGTGCTGATTGAGCATCAGAGGATATCTCAAGAGGATTTTATCCCTACGTCTACTTATTGAGCCACATTACAGCACTCTAAATAACATTCCTGTGTTCTTCATCCTAATCTCAATTTACCTATTTTAGACAGAGATGAATCTGATACTTTTCACTGTAAACTTCTTCCAACTCAGAATTGTTCTCCCCAAGTCTATCTTTCACAAGTTTGATGGAAACATTATAAAAATGCAAAATATCAATATATTATTAAAATCCCCCTGATTCCATTGTTAGCTTTCTGAGATTTAAATAATTTTTATCAGACAAGGATATACACTTTCGCCACTCCTATTCAACACAGTACGGGAAGTCCTAGCCAGAGCAATCGGGCAACAGAAAGAAATAAAAAGCATCCAAATAGGAAAAGAAGCCAAACTATCTCTCTTTACTGACAATATAATTCTATAGCTAGAGAATTCGTAAGACTCTGCCAAAAGGCTCCTGGAACTGATAAACAACTTCAGTAAAGTTTCAAGATATGAAATCAATATACAAAAATCAGTAGCATTCCTATACAGCAATAATGTTCAAGCTGAGAGCCAAATCAAGAACACAATCCCATTTACAATAGCCACCAAAAAATAAAATACCTAGGAATAAATCTAACCAAGGAGGTAAAAGATCTCTACAAGGAGAACTACAAAACACTGCTGAAAGAAATCACAGACGACACAAACAAATGGAAAAACATTCCATGCTCATTGATTAGAAGAATCAATATTGTTAAAATGGCCAGACTGTCTAAAGCAATCTATAGATTCAATGCCATTCCTATCAAACTACCAATGTAATTTTACACAGAATTATAAAAAACCATTCTAAAATTCATACGGAACTGAAAAAATGCCCAAATAGTCAAAGTAATCCTAAGCAAAAAGAACAAAGTTGGAGGCATCACATTATCCAACTTCAAATTATACTATAGGGCTACAGTAACCAAAACAGCATGGTACTGGTACGAAAACAGAAACATAGACCAATGGAACAGAAGAGAGAACCCAGAAATAAAACATCACACCTACAGCCATCTGATCTTTGACAAAGTTGAATAAGCAATAAGGAAAGGACTCCTTAATCAATAAATGGTGCTGGGGTAGCTGGCTAGCCATATACAGAGGATTGAAACTGGTTGCCCACCTTTCACCATATACAAAAATTAAATGAATTTTAATTTCAACTAGATGAATTTTAATTTTAATACACAATAATTCACAATATACAAATATTTAAATGGATTAAATATTTAAATATAAGACCTCAAACTATAAGAATCCTAGAAGAAAACCTAGGAAACAACATTCTGGACATTGGCCTTGGAAAAAAATTTATTACTAAGTCCTCAAAAGCAATTGCAACCAAAACAAAAATTGACAAGTGGAATCGAATTAAACTAAAGAGCTTCTGCACAGTATAAGAAAATCCCAACAGAGTAAACAGACAACCCCTCAGAATGGGAAAAAATAATCACAAACTATATATCTGACAAAGGTCTAATATCCAGAGTCTATAAGGAACTTAAATAATTCAACCAGCGAAAAACAAATAACCCCATTAAAAAGTGGGCAAAAGACATTAACAGACACTTCTCAAAAGACGACATACAAGCAGCCAAGAAACATATGAAAAAAATGCTCAATATCACTAATCATCAGAGAAATGCAAATCAATACCACAATGAGATGTCATCTTGCACCAGTCAGAATAGCTATTATTGAAAAGTCAAAAAATAACAGATGCTGATGAGGCTATGAAGAAAAGTGGACACTTAAATACACTCTTGGTGAGAATGCAAATTAGTTCAGCCACTGTGGAAAGAAGGATGGAGATTTATTAAAGAACTACCATTCGAACAATAATCCAATTACTGAGTAAATATCCAAAGGAAAATAAATTATTCTACCAAAAAGACACATGCACTTGCATATTCATCACAGTGCTATTCACAATAGCAAAAACATAGAATCAACCTAGGGACCCATCAATGGTGGATTAGACAAAGAAAATGTGGAACATATGCACTATGGAATGCTACACAGCCATAAACAAGAAAAATATCATGTCCTTTGCAGAAACATGAATGCAGCTGGCTGCCATTATCTTAAGGGAATTAACACAGGAACAGAAAACCAAATACTGCAGTTCTCACTCATAAGTGGGAGTTATGGGTATAAAGATGGGGACAATAAACACAGGAAACTACTAGAAGGGGGAGGTTGGAAGAGGGTTGAAAGTCTACCCATTGGTTGCAATGCTCATTGCCTGGGCGATGGGATCAATTGTACCCCAAACCTCAGCATCACACAATACACTCACATGACAAATCTGCACATGTACCCCTTGAATCTAAAATAAAGGTTGAAATTACAAAAAATAAAGTAAAATACAAATAAATAATTTTTATTACTTCCTTCATATTAACATCTAGGTAAGAATTCCTCCCTATGAATGTGTCATGAAGACAGGAGACAAATTGAAATCACTGGCCCTTGAAGGCATGTTTCCATGGTTTTTGGATGTTCTACAAGTGGAATGGATCTGCTTACATCCCCCTCATCAGGATAATAGGGCTTCCTCCCCTTCAACATCAGTGGTCAGTCCAGCCATTTATATCAGCCAGACTCCACCCAAAAGGCATGATGTAACAGGGTTGGCCATAATTCCTCTGTCTACTCCTAAGCAATTGTACACTCAACTCAGCAAAATTTGTGAAAAAAAATAAAAACGTCTCAGAGCCCAGTAAAAAAGAGCAATAAAACAGGAGTTCTAGTGGAAAAAAAAATAGCAGCACTTAAGATGAAATTCAAAATGAAATAGCCCACTTTAATTTTTTTCTTATTACAATTTCCAGTTTTTCTATCCATGAGCATTTAACAATTTGTTTGAAGAAACAAAGTTATTAACACAACACACACATAGAACTTTACATAGAAAAGAAGAAAAAAATCATTAAATAACGTTTTACATTTGAAGCACTGGACAACCACTGATCCTGCAGCTGAAATAGGACTATAATATTCCAGTGGAACTTGGAATCAGCATTGGGGCCCACAACTAATGCAAGTATGCCACTCTCTGAACACCACTTGGCAAGTTCACCAAGTTCCAAAGTCTAATGATCGAGGCTTGATCTTTATTTTCTGAATTATTTGGCAGCCGTTCACACAGCTAGTCATTGCCTCCTTATTGAAACATCCTTCATCAGACACCATGTTATGGCCCTCCTCCTCATGCACCACCTGACTGACCTCACCTCAGTTTCCTTCACTGGTTTTGCGTTCTCTTCCTGGCTTCTGAACACTATAGCACCCCAGAGCTCAGTCTCGGGACTACCTCTTTTCAATCCACACTGACTGCTTGTAGGGGACTGAATGCTGGCCTCCAAAAAACCTCTGTCAATGTTCTAATCCCCAGAACCTATGACTATTCTCTTATTTGATAAAGTAGTGAGTACTACCTTATATGGCAACAGACATGATTAAGTTGAGGATTTTGAGAGGAGAATCTTATCCTTGCTTATCTGGGTGGGTCCTATATCCAACAAATGTCCTCACAAGAGATAGACAGAGGAAGGTCTGCCCAACAGAAGAGGAGGAGGCAATGTGACCAGGGAAGCAGAGATTGAAGGGATGTGGCCACAAGTCAAGGAACACCGACAGCCACCAGAAGCTGGAGGAGATAAAGAATGGATTGACCCCAGAGCCCCCAGAAGGAGCACAGCCCTGCTGGATTGCAGACTTCTAGTCTCCAGAACTGTGTGAAAGAATAATTTCCGCTGTTTTTTTTAATATGGAAATGTTTTTTATTTTTATTTTTATTTTTATTATACTTTAAGTTTTAGGGTACATGTGCACAATGTGCATGTTTGTTACATATGTATACATGTGCCATGTTGGTGTGCTGCACCCATTAACTCATCATTTAACATTAGGTATATCTTCTAATGCTATCCCTTCCCCCTCCCCCCACCCCACAACAGGCCCCAGTGTGTGATGTTCCCCTCCTGTGTCCATGTGTTCTCATTGTTCAATTCCCACCTATGAGTGAGAACATGCGGCGTTTGGTTTTTTGTCCTTGCAATAGTTTGCTGAGAATGATGGTTTCCAGCTTCATCCATGTCCTTACAAAGGACATGAACTCATCCTTTTTTATGGCTGCATAGTATTCCATTGTGTATATGTGCCACATTTTCTTAATCCAGTCTATCATTGTTGAACATTTGGGTTGGTTCCAAGTCTTTGCTATTGTGAATAGTGCCCCCAATAAACATACATGTACGTGTGTCTTTATAGCAGCATGTTTATAATCCTTTGGGTATATACCCAGTAATGGGATGGCTGAGTCAAATGGCTTTTCTAGTTCTAGATCCCTGAGGAATCGCCACACTGACTTCCACAATGGTTGAACTCCATCTCCAGGCTGGAGTGCAGTAGCACAATCTCGGCTCACTGCAACCTCCGCCTCCTGGGTTCAAGCGATTCTCCTGACTTAGCCTCCCAAGTGCTGAGACTACAGGTGCAGGCCATCATGCTCAATTACTTTTTTTTTTCTGCATTTTTAGTAGAGATGAGGTTTCACCACGTTGGCCAGGATAGTCTCGATCTCTTGACCTCGTGACCCACCTACCTCAGGCTCCCAAAGTGCTAGGATTAAAGGTGTGAGCCACCACGCCCAGCCCAATTTCTGCTGTTTTAAGCCACCAAATTCTTGGTAATTTGTTACTGCAGCCCTAGGAAATTAACACACTCCCTGAGTGGTCTGACCAGCCCACGACACTACACCAATCTCTGTGCCAATGACTCCCCAATTCTAAATCTCCATCTGGGCTCCAGACTCTGCATCCTCCTATGCCAACTCACACCTCACACGTCTTAAGTGACTAATTGGCATCTCAAATGCAACCTGCTCAAAGGGAACTCCTGATTCCCACCCCACTCCACCCCACAGTCTGCTACCCTCCCGGTCTTTTTAGTGAACGATACTACCATTCACTTTCTGCTACACACAGTCAGAGAGATACTGTCTAAAATGACACCAAATCCTATTACTCTCTTGCTAAGAATCTTTCAACAACTTCCCATCCTACCCAACATAATCCAAGTCTTTAATCTGACCCCTGGCTACTTCTCTGACCTCATCCTCCACTCCTGTCCGACTCTTTCACTCCCCTCTGGACACAGTGGTCTCCTCGACAGTCCTGGAAAACACTGGCTTGTTCCCACCTTAGGGCCTTGTACTTGGTGTTCTCTGTGCCTGCAAGGCCTTTCCTCCAGCCTTTAGTATAACATGCTCACATCTCTTTACTCTTTGTACACCTAATCACACAGGCCTTGATTGATGCTCTAGTCAAGAGTCACTTTACCTCTGTCTCACCTTTTTTTTCTTAACCCTGCTTTGCTTTCTTCAGAGAACTTATCTCCAAGTTATGTTGCATTATATATTTTTATTTATTTGTATATTGATAATAACATGTCTTCCCCACTGGAATTTAAGCTTCGGGACAACCATTACACTGATCTCGCCCCACCCCTAACCACCCCTGCTGCATCTCCAGCAGCCATAGCACTGGTGCCTAGTTCATATTGAGGTGCTAGAAATGTTTGTTGCATGAATTAATGAATCTAATACTGTGTATAGGATACAAGCACGTTTAAGAAATAAACTTTATGACTATTCTCTCTATTTGCCCTTCAGAGGAAACACATAAGAACAAGATGGTTCGTGACACTCATCAAACACTCATTGAGAAATAATATTTTTACTCATAAAACACTATCTATTAACGAAGCTATATTATCATACAATAAGATCCATAATACTTTTTCAAAGCCACTAAATGCTACAACTAAAATCAGCTAGGCAAAAAGAAAAGAAAACTATCTCAAAGCATGTGGAACTATTAAGATGTTGGAATCAGAACATCTTTTAAAAGGTTTAACCTTTTAAAATGTATGTTAAGAGAGACTCTCACAGCTATTAGATGAATAGGCTGAATACATATCCTCAAGTTACAGCCTGAAAAAGTTGTTACAATAGCATGTTTTTATTGCCTTAATTGAAGAATGAGTTTAAGCAACCACGAATTCTACTACTTAATTATTGTCCTTTCTTCCCACCTCAAAAAAGCAGTCTAAGGAAATTTTGTGAAAGGAGACCAGTGGGGTTTAGGGGAATGGAAAGTAACTTGTCCTATAAGGTGTTATAAAATAAACAATTAAAATAGTGTGATCTAATAAAAGAATTGGCAGGCAGATCAATAGAACACAAAAGCAAGACCTGAAACAGATCCTACTAAAACTAAAAGTGTATATAACAAAGAAAACCACTGAAGAATGTGGGTTTATTCACATAAATTGCTAGAAAAATTGGCAAAGTACATGAGGAAAAATCAGGATTGATATTAACCTCAGACCAAAAGAGATTCTACACCAATATGTTAAATGTAAATAATGAAATCATTTAAAGTACAAAGAATATATAAAGAAATATTTGGCTGATCCTTACATTGAAAAGAAATTTCAAAGCAAAGAAGTATTTCAAAATTAAAGCAGATCACAAAGGAAAAAGTCAATAAATTGACTACATAAAGGCTTAAACTCCATTATGTCAAAAATATACACAAAATATTAAAGGCAAATGAGGTATATCTGCAACAAATATATAGTAAAATGTTAATGTCCTTAATGTAGAAAGAGGACTTCAAAGATAAAAATAATACAGATTTCCCAGTAAAAACAAATAGCCAAAGGACATGAACAGACAATTCATAGAAAAATATATTTAAGATATTCAACTTCACTTGTAATTAAATAAATAAAAATAAAATAAAACTTTTGCCTTCCAAATTGGCAATCATTAAAATAATATATTAAGTTGTAGAAAGATGTATTAAGTATATGCTTATTCTTACAGCCCATCTGAAAAGTAACTCTGTGTTTACCACATATACATGTTAAACATTCTCCCAAATCTAAAAATATTCATCTCCTTTGACTCTGTTAGCATATTTCTAAGAATATACATAGAAAGATATTTGTATGAAAAACATATAATGTGGCATTATTTATTCTAAAACCCAAATGTCCAATCAGAAAAGAGTTGTTAAATAAATTAAAATTCATTCATAAGAGAGAATTCAATGTAGGCATGAAAATTGTATATTTAAAGACACAATAAAATGTCCAAAATATTGAGGTGAGTAAAAAAAAAGAAAGGTAACTAAAAATTACATATAAAAATCCCATTTATGCAAAAAAATTCAGTGTATACAATTAAAAACTGAAAGGAAATAAGCAAAGGGTTAAGTGATTTAATGTGGGGAATAGGTGATTTTTTTTTATTCCATTCATTTCTTTCCCAAATTTTCAAAAATAGATGTAATTTTTTTTTTTTTTTTTTGAGATGGAGTCTCCCTCTGTCGCCCAGGCTGCAGTGCAGTGGTGCGATCTCGGCTGACTGCAACCTCTGCCTTCTGGGTTCAAGTGATTCTCCTGCCTCAGCCTCCTGAGTAGCTGGGATTACAGGCGCACATCACCACGGCTGTCTAATTTTTTTTATTTTTAGTAGAGATGGGGTTTCACCGTGTTAGCCAGGATGGTCTCGATCTCCTGACCTCGTGATCCACCCGCCTCGGCCTCCCAAAGTGCTGGGATTACAGGCGTAAGCCACTGCGCCCGGCCAAATACATGTAATTTTATGGAAACATTATTATGAAAAAGAAGATGAGCATCAAAAAATATTAATCCTAAAAAAAAATTGTATTTGATAGGCATTGGCCGTCTGTCTATTGAACTATTATGAGTGCATCTTCACAGTACTGGGTTCTTGAAGACCCACTACAGCACGGATGGGGAGGAGTCACAGGGCTGAAGGCATTACTGATGTCTAAACCAGGGGTGAGCAAGGGCCGGACAGTAAATATTTTAGGCTGCACAAGCCATAAAGTCTCTGTTACAACTACTCAACTCTGCCATTTTAGCATGAAAGAGCCGTGGACAATAAGTAAATGAATGGCTGTGTTCCAGTAGAATTTTATTTACACATATCAATATTTGAATTTCATGTCACTTTCAATTGTCATGAAATATTATTTCTCTCTCTCTTTTTTCAACCATTTAAAAATGTAAAAACCATTCTTACCTTTTGTACTAGGTGGTACAAAAACAGACAGGAGGCTGGATCTGGGCCATGTGCCATGGTTTGCTAACCCCTGATCTAAAGCATAAGAAGTAATCTTTAGAAAAACAGAGTCAACACTTCAGGCCCAGGAATACCACTTCAGAATGACCTCAGTCCAGTGCATATCAGGGGCTTGTTTGACATCCTGGATTTGAGCTGGTCTCACAGACAGGTTTACTATCCATGTATTGCTGTCTCTATGTTCTATTCCTAAAGACAAAGGTTATATATATATATATATATAACCTTTTTTTAAAGGACCTAAACTATTTGACTTCAAAATGCTTTCACTGAGTGAAATTTTTATATCATGACTTTATATTTTACAAAAATTTCATTTTAATCATTTGTCTTTGGAAAAACTAAAACAGAAAATGGATTTATTACAGGATCCAGTAATTCTTTAATCGAGATCCTTTTAACTTTAAATCTAATCACACTCCACGACCCCCACCCCTCCTCGAAAAACACACACACAAATCAAACAAAACAAAAACCTCTCCATGGTACCTATGCTAAAGTTGAAGGAAGTTAAAGTTAGAGGAATAGAGTGTCTGCACAGGAGCTCTCATTCCAGAGCTCCTCTCTACCAAACACCCTGTTTCAATAAGGCCTTGTCTGCCCTCACAGGTAAGATACTCATCTTTAAGAGAATAATTAATTTATATTTATGGCATAAAAATTAGGTTGCTGGTAGCTGATCCACGGACTGGCACTTCAACATCTTTTTAGATTACTTGCTTTTGAGTTATTAAATTATTTCAGTGAACTGACCTAGGCTGTTGATACTCTTTTTTTTTATTTTTTTAAATTTTTTTATTTTTTTTCTTTTATTATTATACTTTAAGTTTTAGGGTACATGTGCACATTGTGCAGGTTAGTTACATATGTATACATGTGCCACGCTGGTGCGCTGCACCCACTAACTCGTCATCTAGCATTAGGTATATCTCCCAATGCTATCCCTCCCCCCTCCCCCCACCCCACAACAGTCCCCAGAGTGTGATGTTCCCCTTCCTGTGTCCATGTGATCTCATTGTTCAATTCCCACCTATGAGTGAGAATATGCGGTGTTTGGTTTTTTGTTCTTGCGATAGTTTGATACTCTTAATCCTGTGGCCAAAGAATACATGGAAATACTGGTAGCAACTGTAAGTAACTGGCTGACTAATGCTCAAAAGTTACCTCACTTTTATATCACTAAGTCATTCACACACACACACACACACCCACACATGCACACACACACACTAGCCCAAATACACCTACATCATCTTTCATTTCCAGATACTCCTGAAAAACAAGTTATGACGCCTACTTTCCCAAGTTCTTACTATATGACTTCAAATTCTCTTTTTAACTGTTTATTATTAGCATTAACAGTGTTAGTAACAAGTGAAGTTCTCTTAGTTCTGGTTCATATGATCATTGTCATGTACAACTCTAACTATTCAGGACAACAATCATTTTCAAATACATTTGTACTATTCTTCATCACCAAACAATAATAAAATAAAGAGAAAGAAACCATATGTAAACAACAAAGCAATCCATGACCGAATATTTTCATAGTATTCTTACAGGTATCTGGAAACACACAAAAAGTATATGATTAGAAAATTTTATTTATCCAAAAATGAATTTGGATTACAAATACTATATGTCTATCATAGATATTGATAACGTCTAATACCATAAAACTTTAAATGACAAACAAATTCATGAGAGGATCCTAGCTAAGTATTTCTTCCAAGGCTTTATTTCCCTGAAGCTCAGAAGTAAATTCTTTGGCCAGTATGAATCTCATATGTAATTTAGCAGAAGGAACAGACTTATAAAAGCTGATACTTATTTTTAATTTTTGTTCTTACCTCTGAGATTTCACAATGGAATTTATTTTCACATACACCTCATATACACAGGCATCAGTACTTTCAAACTGCTGAGTAAACATCTTCTTTTCTCCGTCTTCATTCTCTGATTTCGTTATCTCATCCAGTCTCATGATTTTAAATATCTCCTATATGAGGGTAGCTTCAACTTCATGTCTCTGGCATGAACCCTTTCCTTGTGCTACAGGTTCACATATGGAAATACCTCCATGACTTTCCACTTGCAGCATAAAGAAAGCGTTCAAAACTAAAAATAGGCAGATCAGAGAGTCACTGATGCTGAGTTTGCAGGAGGAGGCAAAGTGCTGAAGGAGAAGAGGAAGAGTTAAAAAGACTGAGGCAAAGGAGTGCTTCTCTAGGAGAGGGACCATATGCAAATGGCAACAAAAGTCCAGGCAAAAAGACAAGGCGATGGGCAACTGGGCCAGCCAACCTCATCTGACATCTCAACACCCTCTCGACACCTTATGGGTTGGATTGTATTGCAAGAATCCAAAGTAAAAGGTGACTTTCAATGTTTTGGGGGTTCTGTGTGTTCCCAGCAGAGGAAGAAAACAAGATATTTTTCTCCCTGCAATCACCTGTACTCCATCAATGTGAACAGCAGGAGATGAAGGCGATGGGCCACGTGATGGCCCTGACCTGCTGAAAGCTAAAGCTCAATTCCTTTTGACCAATATTCTAACTCAAGATAGAAGACCATTGTGCAGAGTTACATAAATGTTAGTATTCCCAGAGAAAATAAAAATCTGAATAACATACCCCAGGTTATGTTATTCTATATACTATATACTATATACTAACAGGTGTTCTCTCTTGGGGTACAATCATGGGAAAAGTTAACTTATAAAATGACACCGTTTTGTAAACAATGTTTTACACTGAGCCTGATTTACTTTATATACACCAAAAGCTTCCACGTGGTATGATTGTTAAGGGCCAGCCTCTTCCCACTCCACCCACAAAGATACATTGAAATGCCCATGAAGTCCAGAGAGGAGAGCTGGTTGTTGATTTTTTTCCAAGCAATTCACATTTAAGCATCTCCCTCTTTTTTGGGAATGAGTATCATAATTCAGAATCATTTGACTTTTATCTTTTAGCTGTACCTTCCCATATATGTTTTGTAAAACAAAGAGATACCCAGAATTTATGCACAGAGGTCTTCCCAGTGGAAGGATGCATTCCCAGATATAAACATGAACAGGTGCACTCTAAACTCAAGGGAAACCCATCGTTTTAAAAAAATATATAATGAAAAAGACAAAGAGTAGGGAGGCAAAGTGAGTAAGTTCACAATATAACCTTAAGGGCTGTGATTTCCAATATGGACTGTGACTGACTGCACTATAGCTAACTGCTTCAGTTTTCACACCTGCAAAAGGGTCATAGTCACAATGGGCAAATATTAAGGTTTGGAAACCTATTCTCAATTTAGCAGCTTTGCTTCATGGAGGAAAAGAGAAAACCATGCACATAGATCTAACTATGGAAGTGTGGGATGCACCGTTTTGTATACCAGCTCCCAATATAATCACTTTTACAGAACTGTATATTTATTGTAAACATACTATTTAGGGGACTTCTTATTACATTTTAGAGTCCCCTTTATAAAGACTTACAGGAAAAACATTTCCTCAGGGCTTAGTGTCAGGGAAAGTCAATGCTGCTTCTCTTGATCAGTTAGGAATGTTTCTA
This sequence comes from Homo sapiens, assembly GCF_000001405.40. Taxonomy (NCBI): domain Eukaryota; kingdom Metazoa; phylum Chordata; class Mammalia; order Primates; family Hominidae; genus Homo; species Homo sapiens. Next base: position 320,512 of record NW_017363814.1, read on the forward strand.
ACTTGGGGACTGTTTGAGTCTTATCACTTCATTGATGCAGCTTTAATACATGTGCATAATCTTGCATAATCCACTTCCATGTACTAAGGCTTCCTGATTTCATCTCACTATTCCACTTGACTTTTTTCCTGATTTGTTTAATTTTATCTTCATCTTACTGAGTTATTGTAGTTTTGTTAGTAGCTCATATTATATTTTTAAGTAGATGGATAATAAAATACATTAACTTAACAAATGGTATCCAACAGAAATGGATGTTACAAGCATACAGCTATATGATTAATACCTGATTAAAGAATTTAAACCTAGGAAATGTTTTCAGCCCAGAAGAGACCAACAGATAACTCTAAACATGCCACTAAAATGAATTATGTGCAAAGCCCATTCCTTGCAAGTTAGAACTTCTACATGTTGATTCAAGTCCCATTCACATGGCTCTTCAACTAATCTCTCAGTGTTCCAAGTCAATGATTGGGCTTGAAAGCTTTTGGTTGGGGGAAAAAAAATGGGCTTCATATTTTAACACATACGGAGTTAAGACAAAGACAGTATGGAGATATAAAGTGATTCTTTTAAAAAGATCCTCTTTATGTAATAGTTTAATCAGATGTTGTATTTCATGGTGTGATAGTCACAATGTCTTCAACATCCCAATGTCATAAGTGCTGCCTAAATTCTGGCTATGTCCAAAAGGTACTTTTAAGCCAAAAAGCAGGATTTTCCAGCCAAGGTACCCTATAGAATGTTTCATTATGTCATATGCTAGTCTAATCTCTACAGTCTTCCAGAAATGTCCCACCAGTCCACTCTTTCGCTGTTTCAGCCTGACTTGGACATGCTCTTGTCCATGATCCTGAAGTCTAAGATGTGCCACATCACCACTCCCAACAGCATGTCCAAAGACTCCCAGAATTAATTACATTATGTCCTGATGGTGTCTGTCTCTACAAGGATGAGGACTGACTCTTAAGGTGACTTTATTCTCAGGCAGGTACAAACCATCAAGTAATAATATTTATGTATATAAATATTTATGATGCACATATGGGATAATTCCTCAGTCTCAGACACATCCATACGCAAGAATTCAAGGAATCAATCTAAGTAAGATTTATCATGCAGTTAAAAACACAGTTGACAAAAACTAAAATTTTACACATCCATTGGATAGATTCTCTCTCAAATCAGTAATCACAGGTAAAGAGGAGGTGTGGAGCGGAAGGCTAGGAGAGGACCCATCACATTTCTCTTCTGCTGCTTCATAACTGTTATCAATGAGGGAGTCACAGTCCAGGGAGGCCTCAGGGTCACCAATAATCTTACTCTAGGCCAGACTAACAACACCGTACAGCAAATTTTTATTCTTGAAATGCAATGCACTTAAATCAGCACTATTCTGCTCATACAGAATTGAAATGTCAAGGTCAGTGCAAAGGGATTACAGCTGGTCATTAGGCACAAGGCCCCCCTCAGGAGTCAGACAGGTTTTGGACTCTGGTTTTCCCTCTTAGCAGCTATGTGACCTTGGACAGTAACTTAACTTCTCTGTGCTTCAATTTTGTAGAAACCGAATAACTCATCTCTAGGCATTCTCTTGGTTACAAGTAACAGAACATCCAACAGGAATATCTTAAACAATAAGGACATTTATTATCCCTCTTTGTCAAGATCTGGGCAGTGGTGGGGTGGGCAGTTCCAAGACTGGTTAATTCAGTAGCTCGATAATCCTATCAGGGTTCTAGGTCCTTTATATCTCACTCCTTCCATTCTCTGACCATGCTTGATGCATTGGCTTATCCTCTTTAGCCTGGTCCTCAAATTGGGCCAAGTTGCTGTTTGGTGCTATACATCACTTGCCAATGACAATATCCACAGATAGAAAGGACAACATATTTACCTGGCATCCATATTTTAGAGCAAGAAAACTCTTCTCATAAATTCTCAACAGTGTTTCCCTCAAGTCTCAAAACTGCATGGCCTTTCCAGGCCTAGCCAATTATTTGGCAAGTCAAATTAGACCACTATGATTTGTTTATACCAATTACAATTCACTCCAAGTGGAGGGACTGAGAAAGAGCCAACCAGAATGTGCCCATTTGGAGAAAGGTGAAAAACAACAGGGACTCTGTAGCAAGGACAAAAGGCGTGAGACTGTAGGACAGGCAACTACTAGATCTGCCACTATCTTCTGGAAGCTATTTTGTGTTTTAAATGAGATAATCTGTGTAAAGCTCCTAACACAATGCTTAGCCACTAGTGCAGAGAAGTAAAAATATGTTAGCTGTTTATATCATTAAGGGCATTATTAATAACATCATTAAGTATGAGTACCACATAGTCTTTCCACAACATTCATAAACCGTTTATTTAAACACTGAACACCTGCTTGGTCACACTCCACCTGGAGAATCTGATGAACTTTTCTGCCAACCTAGCATGCAGCTACAGGTGTGTGCCTCTGCAGTGACCATGCACACACATTTTTCTATACTGTTTCAGCTGAAGGTTCTTGGCCCTCTGAATGCCATCTAGGAGACTCTGGATTAAATCTTTAAAAAATACTTCCTTATACAGGTCTTCCCACTGATCCTCCTATCTCCTGGATTGCTCCGCCATCACACTTGTGATCTGCCTCCTGCCATAGCCCATAAGATCTACAAGGAGAGAGACCATCTCTGTATCCTTCAATGCTAGTTCCCACTGCCCAGTAGGGTTTTTGATTCAGCACATTGACCAAATTCTATTTGTAAAACTGAGAATTTATCAACTTTAAATAATGAGTTAAAGCATTTTCAAAGCACAAGCAAATTTTCTTTCCAATGCAAAGTAGCTATAAGACTATTATATAAAACTCAAGGGTGGGTTTCTTGGAAAGCCCTCAAATATCCTTAGTGGAGAAAAGCAGGCAAGAAGGAAAGTAGACGAATGAATAAGAGGACAAAGAGGAATTATGGTAATAAGAGTTGCTAAGTAAGAAGAGGGAAGAAAACATAAGGTTTATTAACTCAACTTGTCTCTATGTGTGAACAGTATGCTAAGATATTCAATGTGCTTTCATTTGACTTAAAAAATGGAAGAGTTATTCAAGGGAAGAGTTCTTATTACCATTTTGTAGGTTAGGAAATTGAGCGAGGTAAACATTTGTCATTTCTGTGGTTATACAGCATCCTGAGTTTAGGAGAAGAAATTGAGCATGATCAGCTGAGGCTTTTCTGGGATTTTTCTTTTCAGATCTGGTCTGCCTTAAGAAGATTTGAACTCTTTCTTAAATGTAAGTCTTATGTCTTCCTTGTTCAATACTTTATTCTCAGCAGTAGAAGTGTACCTGGCACATAATAGGTACTCAATATATATAGAAGAAAAGAAGAAACAAAGGAAGGGAGGGAGGGAGGGAAAAATGGGAGATGGAAGGAAGGGTGGGGGAAGAAGGAAGGAATTGAACAATTTCTGATGTCTGCCACATGGTACAGGTTCTGCCCAGAAAAGAGAGGCCTTCAGTTGACCAGTAATTTTGTCTAATGCAAGGGTGGAGTATGAATAAGCCCACTTGGCCACCAATTAAAAGTCCATTCTCTAATCAGCTCTAACAGTACTGATGATGGCATTATAACTCCAATTTGTTGACACCTAAAATCTCTTAACTGGCTCTGAATTCAGGAAGGGAAAGAGTTTATTGAGCTCCCAATGCCAACACTTTGTGCTCAAAGTTTCAACGGTGTCTCTAACCTCCTTTATAGCCTATTCTCTTTTATTTTTTGCAATGCCTGTTCCTGCCAAAATACACAATCCACTGTTTCACACACTCCTCACTCCAGTGTTTGCCTCATGGTGTTCTCTTTGCATGAAATTCCATTTCCCACTCTACTTCAGTATAACAAAATGCTACTCATAATTCATTTATTTGAATACAAAGGCCCAATGCAATTTTTACCACTCCCAAAACTCTTCCCAGATGCCCGCAGCTGAGGTAATCTTCCCTTCCTCTGAATTCTCAGCGCTACTTCTCTGTATCATTCTGATAGTGACCATCTCCTATTTGATTTACTTATATATCCTAAACCTTCCTGATATAACTTCTTCAAACAGAATCTGAAGGAATTGGTAGGAATAATAGCCTAAGACAAGAAAGGCATCCTTGTTGAAATCAGCCTGAGCAAAAAGTAAGACCCATGAATGTCTAACTCATGTTCATGTGGAGTGCAGGAAGCACAGGGGCATGTAATATAAGCTAAGAGCAGAAAAGGACACCGCACTAATCTAATTATACTAATTCTAATGACAACAGAAAGCCAACATAAGTCAGCATGGGAAAGAGACATAAACAGTAACATGGGCAAGCATTTATCAGGCTAAACAGATTCTTACATATTTGTCAAAATCTATTTCATTCACACATACCATTTGGGCTAAGACTTACTGAGTGATTGTTTTCTCTATTTCTTTTCTTAACTTCTTTTACAAATTAGGCCAAAAGTTTGAAGTAAGTTTAGTCTAGGTCTAGAATACCTATTCTGTATTTGAAAAGAGAGCCCATTTGTATACCTGAAATTGACCCAATTTAGGATATGGGCTCAATTTAAGTAAAATATTGCATCATATTAAATAAAAAAGTTCACTTATACTTCTCATGCTTCTTACCAAATACTACTTGCTTTTTCACAAAACTGTGACACCCTTTAATTACAAGATACCGTGTCCCTGGTTTTTCTAGACAACAATCCCTCCTTAGTGGGTACCTTTTCCCTACTTTTTTAACCTGACTGTGCCTAACAGTCTGAGTTTTACCCATTCCATAGTTAATTCTCCCAAGGACAGGCAAAGAATTGACTTTTTACAAGTTCACTTTAAAAAATGGCACTTCCTGAGACCCAGATTTCCCATTTGTCAATGAATTCCGAAGGGCTCCTTTCAGAGCAACAGCTTCTCAAAATGAGGAGATGAGGGAGGTGGTTGAGCAGTAGTTTTTTCTTCCTCTCATTCCCCCAAAAATGAATAATGAAAACCTGGCACAAAATCTCAGAATATCTGCTCATCTCTGTGTTGGGTAGAGTAAACCTACAAAGAAGGAAAATGGCAAGTGAGGGGAGAGTTTGAAGGCATAAAAAGAAAGAGTTAATAAATAGACCAAGGACTGAGACTGGAAAAGGAGACAATAATGGGCATGAAAGTAGATACACTTTGTTTTTGTTTCTGTTTTGGCTTTAAGGAGGAAAAATCCCATCTGGTACATGTTTATCTTCTATGTTTTCTAAGAGATTCTGAAATCTATGTCGCCATAAGGCCTTACACTATGATCAATGGATATTTGTTGATTTCATTTTAATTTCATTCAAATCAAGAATTGTACCCATAAATTCTCTCCATGCCCTTATAGGGGTAGAAAAGAGGAGTTTGAATCCTGGGTTCACCATGTACAAACTTTATCAAAGTTAATTAGCCACTTCCCAGGGTCGCAGCAAAGATTCAGTGAAATAACGTGCAGAAAGTGTCCAATGCCTGACATATATTAAGCACTCAACAAAACATAGTTACTGTTATTATTCTTGTTCTCATTTTCCTTCCAACTTCCCTGTCTTTAAAGAACACAGCCCCAGCCCTTTGACTGTGACACTATGGTTCCATAATTCTCAACCACCACACCTCAACACATCATTGTTGGGATCAGCAATGAGGTATGCCTCAACTAATGTGCTTATGATATAGAATAACTTCCAAAATTTTTGAATGGTTTTTTGGAAAATAAATGTTATTGAATTCCTATCCCTATAAAGCTATCCCCATGATAATATCACTCTTAGTCATTTACATTCCAGTGAGCTCTCAAGTAGGACCTTCTCCCCCAAACTTACTGCCGGCCCTAACCAATAAAGTCACATTTACTATATAAAGAGACTTAAGTCTCCATTCCTATTTAGAACTAAGATCTGAGTCTAAATCTGCATAAGCAAAAACTCACTAAGTTATTCTACTAAATAGAGGATTACAGGTCTATATCCCTCCAGCCAAAACATTGGCAGAGGCTTTAAAAGGACAGTTTTTTCTTTGACATGCTCAAATTAGGCAGGACCCTGCTCCCCATCACCCCCGCCTTCTCACTAGGTCTAAGGGAAAATGGGAACAGTACGATCAGCACGAGCCCTCCGTGTCTGTGGGCTTTTTCCATGCCTCCAAAAAACATCATCTTAAGAGGAGATTTGGAGTTTCATGAACAATTTCATGATATCTGTCTTCTGGGAGAATTGGAAACAGAAACTGAGCTGTAAATGCTAGACTGTCATGCCTGAGAGCAACTTCCATTTTCCATTCTGGATTGGTTTTAAAATATGGTATCATTCCCAGAACCTTTAAGAATAATTCAACTTTTACCTACCCACCCTCTCCCTTTGCTTTTAATCGTTCCCCCAAATCAGATGCCACGCAAGAGTTTAACATTCAAATCTGCCAAAAAATATAAAAAACTAGTGAGTACAAATCTGTTAAGAGTTAGAGACAGTTTATGGAAATACATATTTTAAGTACTCTGCATTAAAAAGAAAGAGCACATTATCTGAGACATGCCTCACTGGTGACCCCAACAACGATGTGTTGAGGCGTGGTGATTCAGAACTACAGAACTACACAGTATGACCATAGAGGGCTGGAGGTAATGGCTAAAAACAGGAAAGTGGGAAGGAAAATGAGAACTGCGAATAATAAAGTAAGTTTCATTGAGTGCTCACTTGCAAGTGAACATCATCTTGTTTTTGTTTGGAGTTGCTATCTTTAATATTTCAAGGAAATACAAGACCAGCAGAGGGAGTTGGTGACAAAGGGATTCATGCACCAAAGCAGAATCCGAAACCAATGTTGGTCTATAGTGGCTGAGGAATAAAGAAAGTAAATTCCAGCAGCTCCCGGAACATTCTGCTGAGGTTTTCACAGCATTTCAAGTTGCTTCAGAACAGCAAGGGAAACCTAGGGGGATCCCTCTGGGAGCAAACGAATAGAGAGGATATGCTACGCTGCTGTGAATGAGCTGTGAGAGGGCATAAATCCATAGGGCATTTCGCTCTGTTCAAGCAACCCATGATGGAATCACCAGGATTCTTCACATATAAATCCAGAGTAAGATTTTCCTTTAAAAGTAAGTAGGCTTTCACGGCCGGGCGCGGTGGCTCATGCCTGTAATCCCAGCACTTTGGGAGGCCGAGGCGGGCGGATCACGAGGTCAGGAGATCGAGACCATCCTGGCTAACACGGTAAAACCCCGTCTCTACTAAAAATACAAAAAATTAGCCGGGCGTGGTGGCGGGTGCCTGTAGTCCCAGCTACTCGGGAAGCTGAGGCAGGAGAATGGTGTGAACCCGGGAGGCGGAGCCTGCAGGGAGCCGAGATTGCGCCACTGCACTCCAGCCTGGGCAACAGAGCGAGACTTCGTCTCAAAAAAAAAAAAAAAGGAAGTAGGCTTTCAAGACTAGCCCTTATTGTTTGATGATATAAGGACCCCTGCAGAATGTCTTTCCAGGGTCCTTCTCATCCAGGAAATCAGAAATGTACACTACACTCTTCAGTAACCACCCATCGACCCTCGCCCCCCATGCTGTAAGGGTGGTTGAGTTATTTGATGATTAAATGAGAGTTGGATGCTACCTGACACCCTTGCAAATCAGAGTCCTCATACAACTAGCCTCGGTATAGTGACACTTTCAAAAGCAATAGGAACCTACTCTGAACACCAAAAAGAAGAATGCGGCTCTTCACTTCGGGTTTTCTTGAAGGGATAATGAGAATCTATATGCTGCTTCAAACAAATAAAACTTCCTTAAAATCTGCCTTAGACATCCTTCTCTTTCCTCTAAGGTTTCACACTCATGCTAGCTACAAAATCCCTCCCTCTCTCTCATGTAACGTTGCACACATTCGCTCTTTTTTTACCCTGTCCCCACCAGTTTGCTCTCTGTCCACCTACTCCATGCTCCCAACTTGGGAACTGCCAACTGCATGCAGTTCCAGAAAATTAAGAAGTCCACTCTCTCAGCCAAGCCTTTTCTCATCACTTTCATTGCAGTAAATTTATATTCAGAGTTATGCAATGACCCTAAGGTATAGTTAGATGAGTTTTGAAATGTGTATGTGCAATCAACACACCAATCAAAATAGAGAACATTTAAATCAGCCCAGAAGGCTTCCTTGTTCCTCCTCCCAGTCACTCCCACGCCCCTAAGCAACCACAGCTTTCATTTCTATCACCATAGATTAATTTTGCTCGTCCTTAACTTTACATAATGAGATCACACATGTGCTTTTTTGATTCTTTTTTCATTCAACATAAGTTTTTTGAGATTCATCCCTATTGTTTCATGTTTTAGTAGTATTCTATTAACTCTATACACCATAATTTATTTATCCATTCACCACGGACATCTGTTATTTCCATTTTGGAGTGACTATGAGTGAAGCTGCCATGAATATTATCGCATGAGTCTTTTTGCAGACATGTTTTCATTTTGGGGGGGTAAAAATCTAGGAGCAGAATTGGAGGGTCATAGGGTACCCATCTAACTGCTACAGAAACTACCAAAACACTTCTAAGTATTTTACCAGTAACATATGAGTTCCAGCTGCTGCTCCACATCCTCATCAACATTGGTGTTATCAGACTATATTCTTCCAATATGTAGCAGGCCTTTTTATTTTCTTAATGATGTCTTTTGATGAGCAAATTTTTTAAATTTTGATGAAGTTCAATTTTAGCAGTCTTCTTTTTCTTTTATGGTCTGGGCATTTTGTTTCCTCTCCAAGAAATACTTTTATCTCAAAAACTGCACTGTCTCAAAAGTGCCAATGGTGGCCAGGTGTGGTAGCTCACGCCTGTAATCCCAGCACTTTGGGAGGCCAAGGCGGGTGGATCACTTGAGGTCAGGAATTCAAGACCAGCCTGGTCAACGTGGTGAAACCCCATCTCTATTAAAAATACAAAAAATTATTCTGGCATGGTGGTGCGTGCCTATAGTCCCAGCTACTCGGGAAGCTGAGGCAAGAGAATCGCTTGAACCCAGGAGGTGGAGGTTGCAGTTAGCTGAGATCATGCAACTTCACTCCAGCCTGGGCAACTGAAAAGAAAAAGTGCAATGGTATTCTGCTGTGTTGTCTTCTAGAAGCTTTGAAGAAACTTTTAATCTTGGGTCTATAAGCAATCTCAAATTAATTTTCATGTACAGTGTGAGATTGTAAAGTTTTTCCCCAAACAGATGTCCAATCATTCCAGAATGATTTATTGAAAAGACTTTCTTTTTACCACTAAATTGCCCTGGTACCCTTGTCAAAACTCAATGTGAGGATATCTTTCTGCACTCTAATTCTGTTCCACTGAATTATTTGTCTTTCTTAATGCTTATTCTGCACTCTCTTGATTAATATAGCTTTATACAAGGTTTTAAATCAAGTAGGGAAAGTTCCCCATCTCCCAACCCCCAAATGTTTGGCTGTCCTAGATCCACTATATTACCATATAGATTTTAGAATCAACTCACAACTTTTATAAAATGAGCTTGTTGGAAATGTCAATTGGGACAGTGATAAAGGTATAGATCAATTTGGGAAGTAGTGACATCTTAAAAGTACTAAGTATACCATATTAGTCTGTTCTCACACTGCTAACAAAGACATACCTGAGACTGGTATACAGGAAGGAGGCTTAATGGACTCACAGTTCCACATGGATGGGGAGGCCTCACAATCAGGTCAGAAGGTGAATGAGGAGCAAAGTCCCATCTTACATGGCAGCAGGGACTTGCCTTGTCTCAAATGAGGGTTTGGACTTGGACTTCTGAGTTAATGCTAGAATAAGTTAAGACTTTGGGGAACTGTTGGGAAGGCGTGCTTTGTTTTGAAATGTGGGGACATGAGATTTGGGGTGGGGACACAGCCAAACATATACACTAATGCATGAACATTATATACCTCTCCATTTATTTAGATCTCCTTTATTTTCTCTCAGCAGAATTTTGTAGTTTCCAGTGTACAAGTCCTCGTGCATTTTATTAAATTTATTCTTAGTTATCTGATTTTTGATACTATTTAACAACTCAATTTTTAAAATTTCATTTACTACTTTTATGCTAACATATAGAAAAACAATTGCTTGTGGTATATTGACCTTGTATCCTCACATTTTGCTAAATTCACTTATTTGTAAATTATTATAGATTACTTAGGCTTTTCAACATAATCATGTCATCTGTGACTAAAGATTATTTTATTTTATCCTTTCCAATATTTTGCCTTTTATTTCTTTTCCTTGCCTTACTATTCTGACAAGGACCTTCATATTACAATACTGATTAGAAGTGGTGAGAAAAGCACATTTTTCTTTTTCCTAATCTTAGGAGGAAAGCATTTAGTGTTTCATGTAAGTATAAAATTAGCTATAAATTTTGGGTAGATGCCCTTATTAGGTCCTATTTTCAGTTTGTTGACAACTGTTTTATTTTAATCTCAAATAAGTGTTGTTTTTTCAAATACTTTTGCTGCATTTATTTAGATGATTATATAAATTTTTCTCTTTTTTTCTAGTAATGTGGCTAATTTACATTGATTTTCAAATGTTGAACCACTTATATTCCTGGGATAAACTCCGCCTGGTTTTATGATCCTTTTCATACATGATTGGATTTGATTTCCTAATATTTTACTGAGGATTTTTATGTCTATGTTCATTAGAGATACTGGCTGTAATTTTGTTTACCTGTAATGCTTTGATCATGTTGTGATATTAGGATGATCCTGGCCTTATAACATGAGTTGGGAAACATTCCGTCGCCCTATATTTTCTGAGTTTGTCTGACATTAGTACCAGTAAACTATTTGGGCCTGGTATTTCAAGGAAAAAGAGTGGGTAATTATTAAAAATTCTATGTCTTAAGTAGATACAGAGCTATTGTGATTTTTCATTTCTTTTTGTGTCAGTTTTGTAAACTTGGTTATTTGTCCATTTCATGTAAGTTGTCAAATTTACTGAAACAAGTTTACATACCCTTTTTAAGGTATGTGGGATCTGCCATTATATCCTCACTTTCATTCCTGCTATTAATAACTTATCTTCCCTCTCTTTTTTTCTTGATAATGCTTGCTACGGGCTTATCAATTTTATTAGTATTTTCAAAAAACTTTCATATGGTAATTTTCTCTAATATTTGTGTTCTACTTCATAGGATTTCCTCTTTGTAATTCTTTGCTTCTATTTTCTACCTTGCTCTGTCTTCTTTCTTTCTTCTTTTCTAATATAAATATGTAAAACATTTCCCTCTAATAATTATTTAACTGAAGTTCACAAATTTTTATATTGTATTTTTATTACCATTCAATTCAAAATATTTTCTAATTTCCATTTTAATTTCTTCTTTGACTCATGGATTATTTAGAGGAGTATTGATTGATTTTCAAATACTTGGGATGTTTTCTTCTTTCTAGAAATCCTATGGTTATTTATTTCTAATTTAATTCCATTATGATCACAGAACATAGTCTATGACTTCAATCCTTTAAGTGCATTGGTACTTTTTCATGGTCCAACACGTGATCTATGATGCTGAACATTCTATGTGTACTTGAAAACAATATGTTCTGCAACTGTTAGATAGAAAGTTCTGTAAATGCCAACTGTGTTAAGTGGAGGAAAGAGTTGTTCAAATCTATATTCTTGGATTTTTTGTTTGTACTTTTGCCTACTTGACCAATCAACTACTAAAGAAGGGTGTTAACATCTCTAATTTATGTGTTTTATTCTTTCTCCCTGCACTTTTATCAGATTTTTCCCCAAGTATTTTGAAGCTATTATTAGGTCCATGCGCATTTGGGTTTATTATGTCTCCAATGATTAATTGACCTTTTATGGTTATGAAATATCTTCCTTTATCTGTGGTAATAATTTTTGTCTTGAAGTCTACTTCATCTGAAAAGACAAAGCCACACCAGCTTTATCATGCTTATTGTCTAGGTAGTGTATTTGCTAACCTGTCATTCCCTGCTACATAATGTGTTTCCCCTACCTTCACTCACACCTCTACCCCCAGAGTCCACCCACTTTAAACATTTTCTCTTGGCATGGGCATGGTGGCTCATGCCTGTAATCCCAGCAGTTTGGGAGGCTGAGGTGGCTGGATCACCTGAGGTCAGGAGTTTGAGACCAGCTTGGCAAACATGGTGAAACCCCCTCTCCACTAAAAATACAAAAAAAATTAGCCAGGCCTGGTGGCGGTCACCTGTAATCCCATCTGCTCGGGAGGCAGAGGCAGGAAAATCGCTTGAACCTGGGAGGTTGAGGTTGCAAGTGAGCTGAGATCACGCCATTGCACTCCATCCTGGGCAACAGAGCAAAACTCCATCTCAAAATAAATAAATAAATAAAAATAAAAAATAAAATTTTATCTTTATCTTTGTTTGGTTTTTCAGCAGTTTGAGGATGATTTGCTGAAGTGTATTTTTCCTTTTATTTTCCCTGTTTGGGATTTGCTAATGTTCCTAGATATGGACACTGATTTTTTTTCCCAAATTTGGGAGATTATTAGCCCTTATTGATTCATATTTATTCATATATATATATATATATTTTCATTGCTCCATTCACTCTCTTCTCCCTAAGGGATGCCAATTATATGTAAGATAGACTTCTAAATATTGTGCCAGAGTTTACTAATGCTTTAAAAATATTTTTTAAATCTTTTTTCTTTTCATTCTACAGATTAGACTTATTTCAGATATTATCCTTTTCATTTCTGAATTTCCTTAGCTAATTTTCATAGTTTTTATTTTCTACTGTCATTCCCACATATTCTCTCATTAGAAACATGCTGTCCTTTAAGTCCTCGAACACATTTTTTAGCAGCTGTTTAAAAGTCCTTGTCTGCTAAATCTAACCTTTGTGTCAACTTGGGTTATTTCTCAGGGTTTGATGTTGGGTCACACAGTTTCATGCTTCTTAACATGTCTCGTAAGTTTTTTTTATTGTATGCTGAATATTGTGAGTGATACATTGTAAATAGCCTGAATTATGTTGTCTCCCTTTAAAGAGTTGACATTTTGTCCTTAGGGGATAGCCCTTGCTTGAAGGCATAATCCTTATTGCTAAGGTGTGGGTTTTCTGTAATCTCAAAAGAATGCCCAAGTTGTACAGCGAATCTCTTCACCTCTGTCATGGAAAACCAATTATCTCCTAGCACTGGATGAACTCTGGCTTCTCCATGTCAGCTCTCTTCCCAACTGCATCTGTTCTCTGCTGCACCTCAGAGTCTGGGCCAGCATATGCACAGCCCAGGCCTAGGCCATGGTCCTATGGTAAACACCCACGCAGATTCTCAGAACTTCCCTCTAAGCAACTTCCTTTTCTCTAGCACTCTACCCACAAAGCTTAGCAGCCCTCAAGTCCCAATCACTGCCTCTCAGTTCAGCAAGAACACTGCTCCTCAAACTATGCCTCATTTTGCTGCAATTAGAAAGGCGCCCTGAATCAAAGTGCCAGGGCCAACAAAGGTATCATTCCTGTTCTCTTCTCTCAAGAATCCCAGTCCTGCTCTGCCTATTGTCCAACACCTGAAAACATCTGTCTCATATATTCTGTCTGATTTTATAGTTGTTTATGGTGGGAGGACAAGTCCAGTATTGGCTACTCTGTTGTAGCTCGAAGTGCAAATGATATAGCTCTTATTGTTTTTCTTGTGAAAATCAACCCCACCCAAGAATGTTAATGACTAAATTCCTTCATCTCATTACATCTTACTCCAGGAAAGTTTTTTGGAATCCTGACAAATCTATTACACAGTTTTCTCTCAGAGGACTTACATGTTATATGTACTTGTGGAAAGAAAATCTCTTCTGACTTGCAGCATAGATCCTACCTTCCTTTCTTCTTTTGCTATTGTGTTGGACAACATTGTCAATTTCCCAATGGCATCTGACTGTATATCCCACAGTTTCTTCCAACAAATCTTGGGACTGAGACATAAGTGACTGCGTTGGAAAGGAAGTTATCAGCATCATGTTCCAATCTTCCCCTCCTTGGGGTCTCTCTCACAAAAGAAAAAAGATGCCACATCTATCAATCATTTTCCTCATGAATGCAGTGAGATACCAAATACTGCAAGAACTATGAAAGCAGCCACCCTCCCAAGTTCTAGGCAATCCTGAGACTGTCCCACACATACTGGTGTCTGCAATGAGTCAAAGAATAAATGCTCACAAAAATCTGTTTTATGGCAACATGAGGGAGGACAGGATACACAAGGAAATGCCCAAATTCTGGGACTCAGGCATCTTTCGCTTGGGATTGAGGGCTCTCTAGCTGCTTCACCATCATGGGGATTTTCTTACTTGTTACAAATCTGGCTTTAGAAGGTTGAGTCATATGGACCTTAACTTCTATTTCTCCCAGGTATCTTGTATACGATCTCTGTTAATTTGCTATTGAAAGGTTTCTATGTTCTCCTCCTTTTTTATATCAACCCCAACTTGCTTAACCAAGAGCAAAAACTTGGAGCCTCTCAGGTATGTGGTGGAGGCAGAGGTTATGTGTTAACTCTGAACTATTGCATAGCCCTCATCCAAGTAGACATTCCAAGCTGAACATACACATAAAACCTTTTCTTTTTCTTGTGACAGGAAGTCCTACTTTTTTCTAAATCCCAGGACTGCTCTGCCTTTCCACATACTTGTTTTAAAGTAGTCACACATTTCACCAGAAACAAAGTCCTGGTTGCTTTCTGTCACAGCTGAGAGCACTGACTCTGAAAATCCCCCACTATGCCAGTGAGGTGCCCCACACAACCCTGAGACTCTCCCCCTCAGTCTTGGTACAGTGCTTCCCATAAGTTCCTGCAGGGTCTGGGAGGGTGCAGTTGCACCAGTGCTTGCAAATATCTGCTTAATGGCAAACTCCACAGTGGCAGTCCCTGGGAAACCATTTTCTATTGGTAGGTCAGAGCAAAAGCCCTGCATAAAGATATGCATTCCCTTTACTAAATCCTGCATTTTCTCTTTTTTCATGACCCCTTTCCTCCTCATCTCCTTACAAATGCAAAAGTTTCTATAACTAGACCCTCCCTGCTGCTCCTCCCACCCACCCCAAGTACCGTCCACCTCTCACCCTCAGACTGCCCATGTCATGGAAAGTTTCTCTGGGTTTCTGCTCAAATAGTATCTTTCATCTCTGTACGTATTTGATATGGAATTAACCTTAGAAAACAAGTTTAAGAATGAGAAAGTTAATACTAATATAACTTTAAAATTAACTTCTCAATACCTATGTTCCAGAATTTTAGTGATAAAAATGCAAATTTAAAACACTTCTCTCATGTGTGAAATACATTCAGCCAGATCATTTTAAAATTACATTAATCATATTATCTCATTTGTCACTCAATGATTACTCTGATTTAAATATTATGATGGTGCCAGAGCTATATTTAATGAGCAAATTTAATAAGAATAGCACTGAAACTCTATCCAAGAAGCTTAATAGTCCTTGAGGAAAACTTTCATAGGAGATCAATCTATAATTTGTATATGTTGACCACGGAAAATAAAATGTACTGGCTTTTCCTAAAATAGGCCATCATTATTTTGTATATAACTTATTTTTTAATTTAATAGTTTAAAGTTAAAAAGGAAAGATTTAAGAATTATGAGAGGAAAGGTCAAATGCAATAAAGCAAGATAGCCAACTAGAAGCCCTTAGCACTCATTCCCACACAAATACAGCCAAAACAAAAAATAAACAACTACATATTGATGAAAATAACTAAAGGAGAGTGCTGGAGTACATCAAAGGAATAGCAAAAACCCTGTGGAGCACAGTAACCTACGACAGACACAAAGAAAAGAGAAGAAAACATCTGGCCTCCACCACCCCATCACCCAGTTGGGATCAGCTTGGAACTAGGAGGTACTTTTTTTTGCGGAGAAAAAGTAAGCAAGGGGACCCCAGCAGTCCTCATCACCACTTTTGACACCTACAGACCTCACCACTGGGAACATCTGAGGTTCTCACAGAGGCTAAGCCCAGATGAGTGAGCTGCGTGGAGTTCCCCTGGGGAGATGATGCCTTGGATGCCCAGAGCAGTCACACAAAATGGGCCTGAGATAAAGGAGCTCATCATCTCCTGTGGAATCAGTGCCTTGGACAAGCCAAGCAGTCAAGCATCTCAGGACTAAGCTGACGTGGAGCCCCATGTCCTAGAGAAACCGAGCATTGGCTGAGCTCAGACACCTAGTCCTACAGGCCAAGTGACCGCAGTACCCTGTTTCCCTGGAAGTGGAGTAGAGTCTGGGCTGCTGAGTCCAGGGAGTGGAGTCATTACTGTGTTGCCCCTGCCTCCCAGGGCCCAAGTGACAGCTATGCTCCACCATTCCAGAGTCCTTGCTGCTGCCATACTTGACCCCACAGAATCTGAGATACTGCCATGTCCCATCATCCCAGGGTCCAGAGTCACCATTATGCAGTGTCTTATCTTCTGGGGCCTGAGTTTCCACTGTGCCTTATTGGTTCTGGTTCCTAAATTGTGATTGTACCCTGTTCACCGAACTCAAACCTCCAGAGAATCTCTTCTTTCCCAGAGACAGGCCAGTACCGTGCTCTGTCCCCAAGGGTCAGCTACAACCTGGCCTCCTGAGCCTGAGCTGACAGGGGATTCCTCAGAGTAACAGATCCCAACGTTGTGGGTAATCTTCATCCAAACATGCCTTGGAGACTCACCCTGTACCCCAAGACCCTGGTGCCACAATAGGCTCATAAGCTCCTGAGCACAGGACTCTGGCTCCACAGCCACTCTGAGCATTTGTGTCCTGGAACCCAGCACCAATGCCGTTGCTTAAGGGTCATGTCAGACATGACACCAAGAGGGATCCCCTCAACTAAGATTACCCATTATAGGGAAAACAAGAAGAAAAGGTCCCAAAAGCCCTCACCTCTGAGGACCCTAACAACCTATGCTCTTGCCACCACTGCCACAAACTCCTGTAGCCTAGCCCACTGAAACACCATAGTCATCACTGACATTGATTGCAGCTGAAGAACCTGCACAGATGCTATACCACTGCATCTACTTGGAACCAAAGTCATCACACCCTTCCCAACTGGCACACTAAGACCCACCTGTAGTGAAAGTTTTTCCTTACAAAAGCCACTCCGTAAAGTTTGGAAGAAGTGATTATTCCACCAGATGCTCAGCCAGCAATGCAGGGCCACAAAAGAATGAAAAAGCAAGGAAACATGATACCACCAAAAGAACACAATGTCTAGTAACTGACCCCAAAGAAAAGTAAATTTATAAATTGCCTGAAAAAAAATTTAAAATAATAATCTTAAGGAAACTCAGCAACATACAAGAGAATACAGATAGAAAATTCAATAAAATCAAGAAAAAAATTGATTACTTTAATGAGAAATTCAGCAAAGAGATGGATATCATACAAAAGAACCAAGCAGAAATCTTGAAGCTGAAACATTCAACGAATAATATAAGAAATAAAATAGAGAATTTCAACAGTAGACTACATCAAGAAGAAAAAAGAATCTCTAAACTTCAAGATAGGTATTTTGAAAATACCCAGAGGGCAAAAAAAAAAAAAAAAGAAAATATAATGAAAAAGAGTGAAGACAGCTGGGCACGGTGGCTCACACCTGTAATCCCAGTACTTTGACAGAGCAAGACTCCATCTCAAAAAAAAAAAAAAAAAAAAAAAAAAATGAAGGCAGCCTATGGGACTCATGGGACACCAATAAGCAAACAGACATTCACATTATAAGAGTTGCAGAAAGAGAAGAGAAAAAGATAGGGACAGAAGCTTATTTAATGAAATAATTCCCAGAAGTTTCTTAAGTCTTAGAAGAGATACAGACATTGACATCCATGAAGTTCAAAAGTCTCCAAATAGATTCAATAGTTCAAAGGGGTGTTCTCTGAAGCACATTATAATTAACCAGTCAAAAATCAAAGACAAAGAATTTTTAAAGCAGCAAGAGAAGTGTCAAGTATTGACATATATAGGAATCCCCACTAGACTACTAGTGAATTTCCAGCAGTAACCTTGCAGACCAGGAGAGAATGAGATGTTATACGCAAAATGCTACAAGGAAAAACAACAAAAACTGTCAGTCAAGAATACTATACACAGGAAATACGTCCTTCAGAAATGATGGAGGAGATCCTGCCATTTGCTATAAATGCCATTTGCTATAAACCTGGAGAACATTATGCTAAATCAAAGAAGTCAGACACAGAAAGAAAAATATTGCATGATCTCACTTATATGCAAAATCCTTTTTTAAAAGGTCAAATACATAGTGATAGAGAATAAAACAGTGGTTATCAGGGTAGAATAGGGATGGGTTATCAGGTAGAAATAAGGAGATGTAGGTCAAAGAATACAAAGTAGCAAATAAAAAGAATAAACAAGTCTGGGGCGGGGCACTGTGGCTCATTCCTATAATCCCAGTACTTTGGGAGGCCGAGGTGGGTGGATCACAAGGACAGGAGTTCAAGACCAGCCTGGTCAATATGGTGAAACCCTGTCTCTTCTAAAAATACAAAAATTAGCCAGGTGTGGTGGCGCGTGCCTGTAGTCCCAGCTACTCGGGAGGCTGAGGCAGAAGAATCGCTTGAACCTGGGAGGCAGAGGTTGCAATAAGCCAAGATTATACCACTGACTCCAGCCTCAGTGACAGAGACTCCCTCTCAAAAAAAAAAGAAAAGAATAAACAAGTCTGAACAAGTCAAAAGACCTAATCTACAACACAAGCTATAGTTAATAACAGTGTATTATATTCAGGATATTTGCTAAATGAGTAGATTATAGCTGCTCTTGCCACCAGGTGAAGGGAAATGGATAACTATGTGAGATGATGAATGTTAATTTGTTCCACTACAGTAACAATTTTACTATATACAGTATATGTATCATATAACATCATGCTGTACACCTTACATATACAAAATACATTTTATTTTTCTAAAAAAGCCTGAAGGTTTTATTTATAGAAATAAAGAAAACACAATTTATTTAGTGTAAAAACACAGAATTATTCTTACATGCAATTGACCCAATTAACATTTTATAATGTAATGTTTATGGGTTTACTTTCAGAGGAATAGAGTTTAATATAGGGCTTAAATAATTTTTAAAAACTGAATTCTATGTACTAATTTACTGTATCATGCATTCTCAAATATGAAATAAATTTGATTTGGTTTAATTATAAGAAGAAAGATAGTTATAAGGGAAATACAGTTCCCAAAGAGAGAGAGAAAAAAAGCACAAAATTGCTAAGATCTCTTTTTCCAAGTGAATTCTCTCTTGTCAACATTGGGAATAAAGAGAAACCTCTGCATGTCTCTAAAGAAGCATCTCTCTGAGCGCAGAGCAAAATCTTCTTTCTCACCTCCTCTGTAGACGACCCAACAACGTTTTACCCCCATCAATTTCAGCATGTCCTCAAGCTGAGCCTTCAGAGTGAGTAATCCTCTTTTCAGTCTAGCTGCCTTTCTCATCCCCACCATCAAGACATTTGGAATTCCAGAAAAAGAGGAAGAGAAGGAAATGTTTCCACTGAGTGGAAGGATATCACTCTGGACCCAAACTCAATTTCAATGGGTCCCTCACCGAGAAAATGTTCCTCATCCATAATATACGCAAAACTGAAATCTTATTCACACTTGATAAGCAGTAGGTTGTCCAGTCAATTTAATATTTCAGCAAACGAGCACTTTTGAAACAATCAAACATAGCTTTATAGGACTAAAATGTGGGAGATCATTTCAGTAATCCCTTCTTCTAAGCTTTTCATACGTTCTTCCTAAGACAAACCAAGTCTCCTTGAATAAGAATAGTATCTGGCATATAACAAATGTTCACATAAGTGTTTGTATTATTATTACCTTGTTGAATTACTGAAAAACCCTGTGGAATGCTGAAATTCTAACTAAACTCCCTGATAAAGTAGAAAACATGGTCTTGTTCGACACAGTGACATACTGCTTACTTATTGCAACTATGCAAATCATGGGCGCTCAATAAATTTTTGTTGAAAAGCACAGAAGTAAGAAGAGAGGAGAAAGAGAAATAGAGAGGAAAAGGAAGAGGAGGAGGAAGGAAGGAAGCTACCCAGCATTGACAGACATAATCTTTACACTGGTAGGGAGGTTAGAAGAGAGCAGGCTTATTTTTAATTACAAGTCTGATTCTGAAAGGATTATAGAAACATCCAACCACTGGAGCCAATTTATTTCTAAAACATGTCCTATCTGTGCACTTTGGCCCATGACATTTTGTATTCCTGGCATGCTTCCTTCTTCCTTTCCAACTATTAACAATCTATCCATTCCTTAAGCCCAATTTCAATTATACTCACTCCATTAAATGTTTCCTCTTCTTCCAAAGTAGAAGCAATCTTTTCCTGTTCTCAAATGTTAAGAGTTATGGTGTAGATGAACACCACTTTTTGTCACCTATATCCAGTTCTATATTGCTACTTATATTTTCATGAATTTATTTTTGATCACCTTAAATAAACTGTCAGCATCTTTGAGACATTGCATTTTAGATCATCAAGAAATGCAAGTTTTATATAACATCTCATTTCTCTCTGATGCTGGATATCTCCAGGTGGCTCCAGAGCCACATGCTCCACCTTTCTCCCACTTGATCTGTGTCCCAGAAGGCTGACCTGTAGGGATGGATTATGTCATCAGCTCCCTTACCATCTGACTTCCAGTAGGTTAGGCCAATGGGGGAGCCAGTGAGTTTGGGTACTTACTTCTCCAGTTCCTTCCCTGCAGAAACCCAAGGGCTGGCTGAGGCCCTCACTGAAGGTCAGAACCCCTATAAGATGGCCCTCCTTACCTGGCCTCCCTGTCCTTCACATAACTGTGCCCTCCACTTTAGGGTTTACTTCTGTTACTAACCCCAAAGCACTGCATTACTTTATAGCTTCCTACCATGCCCTTACCCTTACCCTTGTAAACAGAACTTTTATTAAACTTTTCTTAAATTATACTAATTTGCATGCTCTGTCTTCTTGAGACCCTGGTTAATATATCTGCTTTATTTTCCTTCTTGTACTTAAGATCTAAAATAATCTTATTCATTTATTTGCTTACTGGGGTTTATTATCAAGACTCTTCTCCTCCCTACAAAAAAATAACAATAAATTCCATATGGCAGGCCTTTTTTCTTATTCACCACTATCTCCTCAGCTTCTAGAATAGGGCAGATAGAGGGCAAACAGTCAATAAATATTTCTTGAAGAAATAAATCAAATAAATCAATTATATATATATATATATAGAGAGAGAGAGATATAGATATATGTTCCAATTCAGAGTGATATCTCTTTATGTTTAGAAGAAGATTCGAAAACACTAGCTCAGTTACTAATCTACTTTTTCAAGATTTAAAACAAAGTACTAACTCAGAGCTTAAATCTAGCATTTCTTTAAACCCAATCAAAACACAAAATGCTTAACACTATAAATTATCCTCCTAGGTTGAGTTTCTAACATTAAAGGAAGCAAAGCAGAAAATTCCCAGAGAGTATAATATAAAGTGAAGACAAAAAATATCTCCATACAGCTTTCTTTTTTTTTTTTTTTTTTTTTTTTGGCCAAGGGACATATGATAACTGCCAAAAATTAGGCCGTAATTCAAGAAGCATTCCTGACATCATTGTACACTTGTTTCTCTACTCAAAACACAAATTTATCACTAACTGTCACTGGACTGCTATCCAACTACAACTTCCCCATCTCATGCATAAAACTATGCTTTTAAAGTACTAAAACATTAATACCCACCAAGATGGGGGATAGGCCTTTTCTTACATGAATATGTAAAAGTTGATTTAGGTATTCGTGATAGAGAAGTGAAAGGAAAGACTGAAAATGAGACCTTGCTCACCTCTTTCCTAAATGGGATACTGCAGGTTATAAGGAAAATCAAGAGTGGACAGAGAAAAGGGAGTTTAGAATGATCTGAACCTGTGTTGGCAGTCATGCCATTGGGGAACACAGCCATTCAACAGTGGAAGTACTTGCCTTCCTTGACAGCTGCTAAGAAGGTGATGCCGCGGCTACAGCTCCCAGATGAGCTCATGTGGGTATGGCAAAAGGTTCACCCCTGTAACATACTGTCCTCTTTAGCAGCTGTTCAACTGCCTAACACATGGCTATTTTCTCTGCCTAAATCAGTATCATTTAGTTATACTACTGAAGACCGGGAGGGACCTGATATAACTGATGCTATTTGCAAATTAATAGATGAGGGAACTAACCATAAAAATTTTTTCAGAAATCTGATACTAATTTGAACAGTATTTTCAATCAATTACAAGGATTCATTTCTAATCTTCTCTCAAATATTGATGAAACATTTCATAATTTGTTTTGACTTATACATAGATTTAATTGCATATACATTTAATTGGAGCCCATGACTCATTAGCAATAGAATTTCCTAACTTGCTCCAAATTTTCAGTAGCCTCAGGTTTCCCAGAGACCCAGCCTTTCTCAGTTGCCATGGATTTCCTGCCTCTGGGGGTGCCACCACATTATTACTTAGAGGCATTCCTACTCCTAAATCTGCTCTTGAATGAGCTGGCATTTGACAGAATTCCTCCTTTTTGGAGAAGCAACCAGAGGCAGTCTGAGATTATTCAGATATTTATCTTTGACTTCCGGTACTGGGGGAAAGACAGAAAGACTTAGCTAAAGAATCTCAAGTAAGCCTGACCTTGGGTACTGGAGACCTAAAGCTACGGTATCTCCAGGTCCCGAGCGTCAGTAAGATGGAGCTAATTAGGAGGAAACCGAGGTCGGTGAGGAAAATGACTATGAGATCAGATTCAGCCCAAAGCGTGGCCAGGAATCAGCTCCACCCAGAGGTCTCCAAAAAGTGGCAGAACACTCTGAGTTTTCTCCAAGGGAATTGATGGACAGACTTGTAGGAAGAAAACATAAATTCACTTAAATAAGTTTTTTACCTCTTCCATTTTATTATTTTTTAAATATTTTTATCTTATATATTTTAAATTCATATTTTATCTTCTATATTCATTTTTATTTCATGTATACATTCACATTTATACACCTGTATACAAAATTCTTGCACGTGGTTTATAAGGAAATAAACATATACTGGAGATGAGTACTCAAAACTTTTATTAATAGGTACATTCAGTCCAAAAAGTTTGAAGGCTGATGCAGTAGAACTGAGATGAGCACAAGAGAAGGGGTAGGAAGAGGGCGCTAAGTCAAATGGTCATGATCAGCTGTCTGAAAGTTGGGGAGATCCCACAGGAAGAGAGCCCAGAGACGGGGGACAGGATAGGCCCCGAGGACAGCCTGGAAGGAGGGTCCACACCAGAAACAGAGGAGCACAGCTGCATCAGCCCCGTCTTCTATTTCCTGCCAGAGGGACGCAGTTGACCTCACAGCGCCCCCACCTCGCATCCCAGGATCATTAGCAGCTGACAGCGCAGGGAGGCTGTGTTTATCCAACATCTTTTCTTTTTCTTTTCCTTCAGGCCTCTGGTGTTATTCCCCACCCGACGAGGAATACGTCTTCCTTCTGTTATTAAATCTTCAGGCTCCCTGAGTCCTGCTCCTATTGTTTCCTCTTTTGTGCCATCTGATCCTCCAAACACCTTGTCCTAGGCTCTAGCCGGACATTTCTGACATCTCAAGACTTGAGACTTTGATTTCTGAGCCCCTCAGATCACACGGTAACTCCACCCACTTTCCTAAGCAACCAACTTGGTACCACAGAAGAGGAACTGGGGAAAATCAAACTGAATAAAAACACTTATAAATAAGCTAGTTTCCCCCTGTGTAACAGCACGGTTTCCCCGGTGCTGCTTGTTTAAATCTCCGAGCTGGCGGCGCCAGGCAGGAAAGTGTCTGCTCCAGCTCCTCGCTGCACCTTCCTCACATAATCTTGGCGAACGTTCACATTTCCAGTCAGCGTGGCTCATTTTATTTCCCAGATGTTTTTACACTCCGAGGCCAAAACTAACACGAAATCGCTCCTTTCCTGTCACCCCCGGCCTCTGTCTGTCCCCGTCACTCCCGTCCTCCCATTACCCTCTCCCAGCTGCAGGGATCACGGACGCCAAGCGGCACTATTTTACTAGGAGCTGCAACTACAACCACAGGATCGCGGCGGGGTCGCCCTCTGTGAGAAGCCACACAAACGCGAATCACATGGCTAAAACCACACAAAAACCACCTGTCACCACCTCAGGCCGGTCCCGAGTGTGTGTGTGTGTGTGTGTGTGTGTGTGTGTGTGTGTGTGTGTGTGAGAGAGAGAGAGAGAGAGAGAGAGAGAGAGAGAGAGAGAGAGAGAGACCAGTCAGGGGAACTGGGAGTCATTCTTCCCGTTTACAGTGCAGACTCCCAAGTGCACTGTGAGCACATTTTTGACAGTTTAATGTTCAGGATTAGTAG
The DNA here is from genome assembly GCF_000001405.40 of Homo sapiens. Classification (NCBI taxonomy): domain Eukaryota; kingdom Metazoa; phylum Chordata; class Mammalia; order Primates; family Hominidae; genus Homo; species Homo sapiens. The sequence goes on from NW_017363814.1 coordinate 344,981, forward strand.
CCTTACCAGACTTCCTTGGCCAAATTCAAGAACTATTTCCATTTAAGCCAAAGCACTTTGTTATTACTCAACAGTTGTTTTAATTAACTCCCTCAGAGCAACTGTGGCCCCAATAAGCTGCTTCAAGGGAGGGATCTCACGATATTTTTTGACCTCACACGAGAAAAACCTACAAACATTAGTAGTGGACTGGTTAATCTGAGCTGTTTCAGAAATCAAATTGTTTTATGCACTATTTGGGACATGATTATACTAAAAACAAAACAAAAAACTATTCATTGTTTATCTGAAATTCAGATTTCACTGAGCACCCTTTTTCTTTGCTAAACTGAACAATCCTAACATGGCCAGGGGGAAAAAAGTGTCCTGGTTCTGTGAGAATCAGTGTTGTCTTAGGAAGACCTGGAAAACAAAACATAAAATCCTTCTAATAGCAGAAACTATCTTAAAAATCAACTAGGCTTTCAATTCTCTTTCTATATTCTACTACCAGAATATGGTATTTTCTCAACTTTCAGAGAACAAACTAAGTTAATTAAAATTTCTCAATGTTAAGCTTTTTTTCCCAATATTTTTTCTAACCATTTCATCTTTGCTTATTTGCCAGCAAACACCAGTGGATGTCAGAAAAAGTGAACAATCCTTAAATGATATTAGTAGGAAAAATGACCTACCCATTCTTAGTTTGGAAGGTTGCCTTTTTCTGAACAAATATTCTTATTTTTGTAACATTTATATTATATGGTCAAATTTCTGTCGTACAATTATTTCTAGTTAATACAATAATTTTAAATGCACCTGTAGGTCATGGTATTCTTCTAGGGATATAGTTATCAGAATAAATGTGAAAACCAGCAAATAATTGCATGTATTTCTTTCATATTACATATGTAGAACCCGAGGCTCAGAAAACCCATGAATGTGCCCAGAGTTAGGCACATGGCCCCGCTGTATCAGCACTAACGCCAGGTGTCTCAGTGCCCAGCTCACTACCTGATTAAAAACAGGACACTACTTTTCAAATGGCAGAAGCCCCTTGCAAGGTGTCGCCAGCTGAGAGTGCCTTTAATCCACTCACTAAGACTCCCTTTTCCTCTTCCACCATTTAGAAAGGATGATTATCACACCACTGCAGCTAAAACATAAAAGAACATATCAAAGGAATTTGTAAAGTATTTATTAAAAACATTTATTTCAGAAGAGCCAATGTAACAAAATTTTGCTATTGCAAAATTGACACAAAATGCCAGTTGTTCTCCCCTTTTAGATCCATGCACTCTTTTTAGTTAAGCATTTTGTAATATCTCCTTTTCTACCCTGATATAAATTTTTTATGACATCGATATAATGTCCTAGCTATAATATAAAGGGAAAATAAAAGTGATTCATAGTAAAATATCATGTATTTCAATATGTAATTATGTAGGTATGACTACAATAGGAAACACAATGAGATAGATATTTGCACATATTTTTAATGAGTAAGTTTGGAGTTATGAGAAGACACCATTCCATAAGCTTTTGTACATATTTTACAATTTGAAATAAGGACTAAATAAAGCTGTATGCATAGAAAAACAGCATGAATGCTGAACATGAATGAATGCTTCATATTTGACATTTTAAAAGAAAAAACAAGCCTATATGCATGTGTATGTGTGCATGTGGGTGCACATGCAAACACACATGCAATCAGCATGAATGTAATAGCTACAAAAATAGGCCTCCTGAGTAGGTGACTCAATTTAATAGGCAATGCTGCCATCAGTGACGCATTTTGCAAAATGGTAAAGTTACAAATAAAGTTTCATCTTACCTCAGTTTACTTAGTAGTTGTATTCTTGGGTAATTCAAAGTATATAAAGTCAGCACAAAAATTATTTTGTGTGTTTATACAGAAAATAGAGTAAGGTTCTGGACTTACGTAGGTTATTATAAGCAGGTTTTTCACCTGCTTGGATATCAAACTACTCATTCAAAATTTATGAGGAACTCAAGCAACTTTTACATTGTGTGAAAAATGAGATGCAGCAATTATATTTTAAAAATGCTACTTTGTGAGGCTGAGGCGGGTGGATCACCTGAGGTCAGGAGTTCAAGACCAGCCTGGCCAATGTGGTGAAACCCCATCTCTACTAAAAATACAAAAGTTAGCCGGGTGTGGTGGTGGGCACCTGTAATCCCAGCTACTTGGGAGGCTGAGGCAGGAGAATCGTTGAACCTGGAAGGCGGAGGTTGCAGTGAGCCGAGATCACACCATTGCATTCCAGCCTGGGCAAAAGAAACGAAACTCCATCTCAAAAAAAAAAAAAAAAAAAAAAAAGCTGGATGCCATTACGAAGGATGTGCAGGACACTAAAGGAATATAGAGGAAAGGAGTCATCTAAGTCCATATGAAGATGGTGAAGAAGGTTTCCAGGACAGAAAGCAGGGTGATGCTAGAACTAAATGTTTGAACTAGAACAAGACCAAAAAAAAAAAAAAAGCCAGAGAAGAACGTATGAGTGGACAAGGATTGGGGCATGAGGGACTGTGGTGTGTAGGGGGAAGTGGACATATATAGGCAGGGAGGAGATGATGAAAAATCAGAGTATATCCTGGAGTCCTTCAAGCTGGAGTGACATCCAGTTTGCATTTAAGAACATCCTTTTTGGTAGCAGTACAGAATGGTTTCTAAGAAGGTAAATTAGATAAGTTAGGAGATTGTTAGTTTAACACAGGTAGAAATAGTCAAGGCTTAAAATAACAGCCATGGGGGCTGACTGAACAGGGCAGACTTGACATATATTTAGAGGTAGATTTGATGGGCTGGGGAGACCAGATGGAGAGAAGAAGTGAGAAAAAAAAGGAGTCAGAGTTCTCCAGAGAAACAGAACCGATGGGAGACAGACAGACAGATAGATAGATAGATAGATAGATAGATAGATAGATAGATAGATAGATAGATAGATACGTACGTACATACATACATACATAGATGGATGTGAGAGAATTTATCACGGGAATTGGCTCACACAGTTATAGAAGCCAAGAAGTTCCACAATGTGCTATCTGCAAGCTGGAAAACCAAGGAAGAGAATGGCATACCTCAGTACGTGTCCAAAACCCTGAGAACCAGAGAAGACAATGATGTAACTCTCAGTCCAAAGCCAAAGGCCTGAGATTTGGGGCAGGACACTAGTACAAGTCCCAGAGTCTAAAGACTGGAAAACCTGGAGTTCTGATGTCTACAGGCAGGAGAAGATAGTCCCAGCCCCAGGAGAGTCAGTGAATTCACCTTTCTTCTGCTTTTTTGCTCTATCTGGGCCCTCAACTGATGGGATAGTGCCCACTCACATTGGATGAGGGCAGATCTTCCTTACTCGGTCCACTGATTCAAATGCAATCTCTTTCAGAAACACTCTCACAGCCATACCCAGAAGTAATGTTTTTCCAGATACCTGGGTATCCCTTAACCCAGTCAAGCTGACACCTAAAATTAACCATCACACCCTCATAGTAGGACAATTGTAGAGGACTGGTAGCTATGCAGGGAAGATACTCTTTTGGCATGAGTGGATGGTGCATACTAACTAAACTAGTAATTACCAAATTACTAGTGCCTACTTGTAACCTGGTAATTACTACTACTGCATATAATATATACACTACCATCATTGGAAAAAAAAGGCTCAGAAGTCACACTCACTGACAGTGATTTGAATAACACAATTCAGCAATTTTTGTTGACATAGATGCTATGATAGGTATTATCTAGATACTGGGGAAGCATAGTGAAGAAGACTCAAAATGCAGCTTTATGGAACTTTAGCTACATAGAGGACTTATAGAAAGTATCCTGAGAGCAGAAACTGGTTTTCATTGATATAATCCTAGTTGTAGCATATTGCCTAACAAAAAGTAAAAGGTCAGGAAATATTTATAATATAAAATACTTCATTAAGCATCGAAATACTTTATTAAAGAATCACTCCTTTGCAGTCTGAAAGTTTCCTCTCTTTATTAGACCCTTCTCATCTGTGTTAATTTAATTTAATTTAATTTAATTTAATTTATTTATTTGAGAAAAGTCTCACTCTGTCACCCAGGCTGGAGTGCAATGGCATGATCCCGGCTCACTGCAACCTCTGCCTCCGTGGTTTAAGCGATTCTCCTGCCTCAGCCTCCTGAGTAGCTGGGATTACAGGTGCCAGCCACCATGTCTGGCTAATTTTTGTATTTTTAGTAGAGACAGGGTTTCTCTATGTTGGCCAGGCTGGTCTCGAACTCCTGACCTCAAAAAATCCACCACCTTGGCCTCCCAAAGTGCTGGGATTACAGGCGTAAGCCACCACGCCCGAACTCATCTGTGTTTAAACACGCTTTCGTCTGCTTTAAAAAATAAAAACACTACCTTGCACCCATTTTCCCTTCTAGCCACAGCCTTTTCTCTCTCCATCCTGTTGCAGCTGAACATTTCAAAATGGTTTTCATATGCTCTCTTTCTATTTTCTCACTTCTCACTTCCTCTTTAATCTGCTGCAATCTGGTTTGAAATCCCATCACTCCATTGAAGTAATTATTGCTAAAATCACGAATAGCCAAAGTTGCTACATCCAATAAACATTTTCTATCCTCTTTTTATTTAATCTCTCAGCATCATTCAGTAAAGGTTGCCACTCTTTACTTCATGTTGGAAAGTTTCTTCGCCTAATTTCATTGAATAATACTCTTGATTTTCTTCCTACTTCTCTAAATATCCTTTTTCAGTCTCCTAGGCTGATGCACCCTCTTCTAGTCAACCCTAAGTGTTAGAGTCCCTCCAAGGTGGGGTCTTCAATCTCTTCTTAGGTTATACTCTCTGCTTAAGCTATTTCACCTCTGCCCATGATCTCAAGCCCATACGATGCCAGCTTTTGGATTTTATCACCTGTCCAGCACATTCATCTGAGCTGTAGTACTCTAAATACAACTCTTCAGCATCTTCACTTGAGTGACCACAGCTCCCTCAAACTCAATATGAACTCATCAAGACATACTGGTCAGAAACCTAAGAGTCACCCTTGAGTCACCCTTTTCTTTACCCAGTAACCCACTCCATCAGCAAGTTCTATTGCCTCTACATTCAAAATATATCCTGAAACATCCACTATTCTCCTTCTCTATCAGAACCCTGGGCTATTACATTAATCTCCAAAGGTCTCCCAGTTTCCATTCTTGGTCCCCATCCAATCCATACTCCACCCAAAACAAGAGTGATCTAGAAAACATATATATACCCATTCATGATTGAAGCTGTTTAGTAATCTTCTGTTGTTTTAGCATAAAAATCAAAGTCTTCTATGTGACCTGGCCTTGCTGCCTCACCAGGCTTGCTCATGATGCTCTCCTCCCTCAGCCCCATGCTCCATTCCACTAGCCTGTCAGGTCTTCAGATGTTCTATGTGCTTCCTGCCATAGGCCCCAAGCAATGCCACCCTTTCTGCCTGGAATTCTCTGTGGCCCCACTACGCTTGTCCAGGCAATTCCCACGCATTCACCAAAGCTTAGCTGAAGGGACACACAGTCAAAGAAACCTGCCTGTCCAGGCGTGAAGTCTCCATTGTACACACTCAGAGCACCCAAGACTCCTCCTCCATAGCTCTGTCCAAAATAATTTTAACAGTGTTATAACTGTTAAAATTTTATGATATGTGAAATATAACTCACATACCATAAAATATATTTATTGTATTGATTTAAAATATAACTCATACCATAAACTCCACCCATTTAAACTGTACACTTCAATGGTATTTAGTAGGTATGTAAATTTTAGAAGTTTTCATCACCTTGAAAAGAAACTCTGTAGCCTTTAGCTATCACTGCCTGGCCCTCCAGTCCACTGGCCTAGCCCAATGCTAACATTTGACCAATTTCTGCCTCTATAGATTTCTGTATCCTGGACTTTTCCCATGAAAGGAGTCATGTGATATGTGGTCCTTTGTGACCAGTTTCTTTCCTAGAACATAATGTTTTCAATGTTTATCCATTTTGTAGTACGTGTCAGCACTTCATTCCTTTTTATGACCCCCAAATTATTTTTCATAGTTGAATAATTGGTTGTCTCTCCTGCTAAAATGTAAGTCCTACAAAACCAGAAACCATGTCTCATTGCTTCCCATATCACACAGAGAGGTGATCAAAAATGATTTGTTGAACTACTAACAAATCAAAAAAGTGAACTTGGCTCAAAGCCTATGCAATACATCACTCCAATTTTGAAGGCTAAGAATCCAGCTGAGCTTCTTTTCATCACTGAAATAATAAAACTCATTCTGCATTCTATATTGGTACATTGTAGCAATAATTAGAGAATAATTAAAATCTAGGAATATACCCTCAAATTTATGTTATACAACTCTGTACGCTTTTCTTATATGCATATGTTAAAATGCATATACTTATACATACTTATATGCATGCATTAAAATGCATATAAACCACTTGGGGATCTTGGTAAAGTGCAGCTTCTGATTCCCTAAATCTGGGATGGAGCCTGAGATTCTACATTTCTAACAATCTCCTGGGTAACGCCAATACTGCTGGTCCAGGGACCAAACTTTCAGCAGGAGGGTCTTAAAATATCGTGGTTTATCTTCTTCAAGCCTGCTGGCATTTTAGAAATATCTTCAAATCATTTTTGATAAATTATTGTACTTACAATATACATGGTAGGAGCTTAACAAATGCTTGATGAATTAGTACTTAGTAAATGTATAAATTGCTTCCAGACATAACAAGGTTTCATTGCTGCATCCTTGGTCTGACTTATGTGCACAAACAACAAAAAAATAGGGCTGAAACATCAAGTAAAAGCAAGGAGCTTTGAAAATCAAAGAATTCAAGAAAAAGAAAAAGTAAATCAGATCCTAAACTACTGTAATTCAGGGATATAAGTACAATACGTTACTAAGCTGAAAGTAAAGGACAGTAAAAAGGAAGCCAGAAAAGAACATCTTAACATTCCAAGCAAATGTGTGTACTCTCTAAAAAAGAAATAAAAAGCTTCCCTTGTCTTTATGCAGTGATTAGAAGGAGCAAAAGAAAATGAGACAATTAGGATGTGCAAAAATGAAACTTTACAGTGGATAGGAAAAACTGTGCAAGAACCAGAAAATGAAGATGAAAGCAAGCTACAGATCCAAACAACTAAAATGAGATCTCTTTTGAGAACATGAATCAGGCAGACATTAAATTGAATTACTACATCAAACCAGAATCTCTTGGATTTTAGAATAAACAGCACAAAGGCACACTGTGAAGAAGTAAATGAACACTGACACTGGAGGTTCTAAAAACTGCAACTTGTCAGAAACCTTATAGGGTCTCAGTAAATTAGCTAGGTCTAAGTGTTCAAGTAAGCCTTTACTTCAAATCAGATGTTTGGCAGAAAACAGAAAGATTATCTTCATTCAAGCCCTCCTATTTAAGATTCAGGATTGTGTTATCTGAAAATTCTGTGCACTCCTCTATCACAAGGTAATGGCAGCTGGAAGTCTCCAGCTACAGAGACCCTTCCCATGATAATGACATCTGCAACAGGTACAGAGTCAAAGATAACCATGAACACAATAATTCACTTCTGGCAGCTCTATTTCTTTTTTAATTAACATCTTTTCCAAGCAAGAGAGAAGACTGCACTGCAGAAAGCAGATTCCTGATAAGCACACCTTGACAGCAGCAGATAAACAGGATCGCTGGGCTGAGGGATCACGGCCAAATAACAGGTGACAGCAGTTATTCACCATGGCTGTGCAACAGGATCTAGAGGGGTCTACCCCTTCAGTACAGAGATTGACAATGGAAGTCATCCCAAAGTCACAGCTGAATGAAAGGATGAACTTCTTTTCAAGGCTCCAGCCCCATCCGAAGAACAGGTAGCTCTGTACCATGCCTGCGTTGTGCAAACGCTTAGAGCCCTTGTGGTTATACCCAGTCCCTCAAGTAGCGTGTGGAGGACTCTTCTCTATATTTAAAACTTCTAAGCTAAGTAAAATTTCTGAGCTGAGTGCATTTCTTCCAGATAGGATAATTTAATCTACCGAGGTCACTTGCATTTCCAAATGTTGCTGAAAAACATCTAGAAAAAGTACAAACTCACTGCCCTATTTAGAAGCCAAATGCCAATTAGCAGGTGCCCTTGATCATTGAAACCAGAGCTGTGAAACTGACATGGTAGTTAGCTCATTTGGAGATCTCAGCCTTTAACACTTAGCAGGAACTGAATTTCCATTCCACCCGATCTCTACATTATATAATAGAAAGTGCATTTCTGGTTCATCAGGCTCCACTTAACTAAGGCAAAACACACAGCTCCGAGGGAACTCGCAAAGCCACAATGCTTAAATGAACCATAACCAATTTTTAAACAGAGCTTTTTAAAAGTAATACTGTCATCAGCTTCTCAGTGTGCACACCACAGACCCCTGGCCCCAGCCAAGTGTGGCTAATTGCATCTTTGCTTGGCCCACCCACAGTCTGAGAGCTGTTCTGGCCCTGGGCAAAAAAATGAGGAAGAATTCAGTATCACACTCAATTTTACTGTTAAAGCATTCCATTATCCTGCCTGCACCTTTAGATTTGGATGCTTTGGAGCCCAGGCTACATGGATCCCTGGGCCTTTCTTTGATCGCCCTCCCCTGCCCTATTTTTTGTTTCCTTCCTTGATTGCCCTCTTGGCCTCTGTTTTTTTCTCAGGATTAATGTGCAGCCTGTCTAAACCAGAACTACAAGCCAGACTCTTCCAGGGGCTTCAACACTGTTCCCTCACTGCCAACCCCCACCCCAGACCCCGCTTCTACTGGCCTATTGCCACCAAAGTCCTTGAGTGACTAACAGGTGACAAAAAATTCTAGTTCATTTTATCGCATCTAAAAATACACTGATATATCTCATGTCTTCTTCAATTAGTTTTTAGTGGCAGACAGTGTAAGGCTGTAGTGAATACCTAACAGAGAAAAGTTGCCATCAGTTGGTGACAGTAATAGTACCATAGATTCTTTAAAGTCACCTGTTTTCTCACTTTGCAGTCTTTAGATTGGGAGGCATTCCATTCATCATGATGATCTAGGTAACATAAGGGAATAAGCAGGAAGCTACACAGGTCTCCGCATAAGGTTATATATGAAGAATTGTAATACAAAGTGCAGGTCCACAAAGGGGAGAAAAATGCCATGTAATCAGTACAAATATATAACTAGATAGAATAAGATTGAGTATTTGACAGCACAACTGGGTGACTATAGTCAACAATAACTTATTGTACATTTTAAAATAACTGGTCAGGTGCGATGGCTCATGCCTGTAATCCCAACACCTTGGGAGGCTGAGGAGGGAGGATTCCTTGAGCTCAGGAGTTTGAGACCAGCCTGGGCAACATAGTGAGACTTTGTCTCTACAAAATAAAAATAAACTTAAAAATAAAATAAAATAACTAAAAGAGTATAATTGGATTGTTTATAACACAAAGAAAGGATAAATGCTTGAGATGATGGATTCCCCATTTACCCTGATGTGATTATTATACATTGTATGACTGTATCCAACTATCTCATGTGCCCCATAAATATATACACCCACAAAATTTTTACATTTAAATTTTTTTAAATGCCATACAAAATCAGAAGAGGTAGAGATTTCTCAGAGCCACAGTGATTCATGAATGTTTCACTTGATAAATGTTTGAGGTGATGGATAGGCTAAACACTGTGATTTGATCATTACACACTGTATACATGTATGGAAACATCATAAGTACCCCATAAATACATACAATTATTATGTGTCAATTAAAGAAAAATAGCATGTTTCACTGAGAAGTGATAAATTAAGTCTAGCCTAAAGCTGCCTCCTTACATATTTTAAGTTCAGCTTTAAGGTTTCTCTGTACACAGTGAACTGTAATCTAACTGGTGTATAAATAGACTAACTTGCTCTTGTACCACCACAGAGTTTCAGCCACTCACAGGTGAAATGTTCAAACTGTGTTAAAACAAGGCAAACGCCGAGCTCTGACCAATCTAACAGCTCTAAGAGAAGAGCTGTTCTGTACCACACTTCTCTTTTCCGTATGTCACTTTCCTTTTTCCATCCATGACTATTGCCCGACCACGCAGCAACCCCAGAGCCACCCTGAACCTATTCTGGTTCTGAGGGCTGCCCAATTTGCGAATCATTCTTTGCTCAATTAACTCTGTTAAATTTAATTTGTCCAAAGTTTTTCTTTTAACAGAGGTAGCATCTGAGTTATGTCTTGAAAGATGGGAAAATTTAGTCTTATTGAAGTAAAAGGAAAGGGGATCCAAGACAGAGTGAAATGAAAATGCCAACAGACAGAGGTGATAGTGTCCTGATGAGAGCAAAGGCTCTGAGCTAGAAAGAGTGGGTCTGAAGACTCCTTCTACCACCTCCCGTCAGAGAGACCTGGGGAAAAGCCCATAATGTTAACTACCTCTCTCTCTATCTGTAAAACGGAAAATATAAAACTTTGTCACATAGGAATGTTGTGATTGAAATAAATAGTAGAAACAATCAACAAAATCAACTGCTCTATACATTGAGAGCAAACAAGGTATAGATTATTCATTCACAGTTCAGCTGGAGAGAAGTGCATATGAAGGCAGTCTGGAGATGCGGTCTGGAGCCATGCCATGTGGTTCTTTGAACTCAAACTCAGGAGGCTACAGCCATTGAATAGTGAAGAGCAAGAGAGTCATAGAACTGGAGCTGAGCTTCAGAGTAACTTAATTTGGTAGAAAAAGGAAAGGCAGACTGGAAGAGAGACACATTGGAGATATGAAATCTAGTAGATATAAAGCAAGTCATACAAAAAAATAACAAGGGTGAAAATAAAAAGACAGGGCCAATTCTAGGTGCGAAAAAACACTGGCCAGGCAGAATGGCTCATGCTTATAATCCCAGAACTTTGGAAGTTGAGGCGGGAGGATTGTTTGAGGCCAAGAGTTCAAGACCAGCTTGGGTAACACAGTGAGACCCCCCATCTCTACAAAAATAAAAATTAGCCAGGCGTGGTGGTATGTGCCTGTGATTTCATCTACTCAGGAGGCAGAGGCAGGAGGATTGCTTCAGTCTAGGAGTTCGAGGCTGCAGTGAGCTATGATCGTACCACTGCACTCCAGCTTGGGTAACAAAGTGAGACCCTGTCTAATAAAAACAAAAACAAGAACAAAGAAACAAAACATAACTGCTGAGGTTTGGTAAATATGTGGTTGTTGAGGCCAATGAAAATGAAAAAAAGGAAAGTGGATACTGTAATCCTAGCACTTTGGAAGGGCAAGGCGGGTGGATCATTTGAGGTCAGTAGTTCAAGACCAGCCTGACCAACATGGTGAAACACCGTCTCTACTAAAAATACAAAAAAAATAGCCAGGCATGGTGGCACGTGCCTGTAATCCCAGCTACTCAAGAGGCTGAGGCAGGAGAATCACTTGAACCCAGGAGGTGGAGGTTGCAGAGAGCTGAGATCGCACCACTGCACTTCAGCCTGGGCCCTGGGTGACAGAGCGAGACTCCATCTCAAAGAAAAAAAAGGAAAGTGGGTAAAAAGGCAAAGCTACTGATAGAGAATCAAAAGAAGGGGTAAGTTTAAAAAAAAAAGGAGATGAATGAAATTAAGTTCAGGGTTTTAGCAGAATATTTGATAATGGTTATAAACACACAAAGAAATCTTCAAAAGCAAGAGTACAACCTGGCGATGGTTTATAAACTGGGTCAGTTATGTCCTATGCAACTATGAGGGGATATCGTTTAATGTCTCTAATCTGGCTTATGCATACAGCTCTCCTATTTGCTGGCATAGAATGTGAGTGCCTATTGGGCCACTTTTGGTAGACAGAACTGGTGCTTCGGGATGAACACATGACAGCAAATTGGAGAGCCGAAATGACTGTTCATCATTTTTTTGGCTGCTTGACACCTACTCCCCCTCTTTCCTTCCTTTTGTGGGGGACATCCTCAGTGCATGTGTTTTGATGGGACGCCAAGTCCTACTTCTCACTTCAAAAGCCAGAGGAGGCCAGATACTCCCTCTCCTCATTCTTGGCAGATAGACTGCAGACAGGTGTCCTAGGCTTAACCAAACAAAATGTTTCCACACAAAAACTTAGATTTGTGAGGAAAGGACACATGGAAAAGGAGGCAGCGTAGAACTCAGCCTCAGCAGCAGCACCCAGCGGCAGCACATTTCTTAGACCATCTTGGCCATCTGACCCAGCTCTCCCAGTTTCTGCCCAAACCCTTATTCTCATTTTCTAGATTTTAGATCAATTTTTTAAAGTTACCCAATATCCTTCCCATAAGTTTTTTTTTTTCTATTAGATATGGTCTGTTTCCATTGTCATATAATTTCAAAATTTCAAAACTTCTCTTCTGTCATCAATGTCTCCTGTGTATAACAAGCATCATCCAGTAGTGAGTAGCCACGACTCTGGAATAAATCCCTGCTGGGCTTTTCCCCTAGCTCTCCTCCTTACTAGCTGTGTAATCGTATGCAAGCCACTCACACACTGTGCCTCAGTTTCCACATCTGCAAAATATGGGTCATAACATTAACCCATGTCATGGTGGTGTACGAATAAATGAGATAATATAAAGGGCTTACCACAGGGCTTGACACCTAGTAACCATGAATGTTGGGGGTGATTATGATAGTGGGATGACAAGAGTAATGTAGGTGTCTCCTAAATAAGCCATGATCTCTGTCCTTAGCACTTTGGGACCTAAGTGAAGAGGCAAGAGGCATACATGTGAAATATTCCATAAGTAGAAAAGAATGGCATAGCATGCTTGCAGATGACACAAATGTGAGTCTAAAACCTGTTGTCATGTCAGTTCATAAAATGCTCTTTTTTCAACCAGCCATATTTATGCCACTGAAATATTAGGCCATACCCTACAGCCATGAAAAGTTTTCAGAGTCCAACTGAGAACTTCTGACAGGCTAAGATCAAAAGAGAAAACTAGAAAAAGGCATTCATTTCAAGCCTGGGCAGCATCAAAAATCCAAAAGCACTCCCCAGGAACATGAGTCTGTTTCCATGTGCCCTAGGGATTCTAGTCAGGCATATGGAGACCCAAGGCAGGATAAAATTAAAATATGACCCCACAGGATCCTCCCTGGGGAACGTGGGAAATAATTCCCCTGGATGAAGAGTTAACTCCAAAAGGAGTCTCTTCCGTAGAGCAGACAATGCTGTAGAATTCTTGGACCTGTTCTCACAGCAAAAGTCTGAATTATGTATCTTTTAAATTCTAAGCATGAGTTGTGTGGTGTAGCATCTATCAATCTTCTTCAAAATGTATCCATCCCCCACTTATCTAAAACAATTACTTATAGGAATTCAATTTCAGGATCATCTAGTACATTGCTTTTGGGGATTCAATTTCATCTTTTCACTCTAAATTCCCAGTTGTTCCAGCACCATTTTTTACAAAAGACCATCCTACCCTGTGGCCCTGCAGAGCCACTTCTGAAATAAATCAAGTGTCCACACGTGCAAGTGCTTCTGGGCTCTCTTCTGTTCCATTGATTGATCTGTCTATTCCCACACCAGCAATGCCCTATCTTAATTGCTATGCTTTTATTATTAGCCTTCTTATCTGGTAGCTCAAGTCTCCTCACCTTGTCCTTCTTTCAAACATCTCAATTATTCTTAGCTGTCTACATGTTTATGTGTATTTTAGAATCAGCTTGTCAAATTCTACCCAAAAAAATCTGCTGAGATTTTTCTTGGGATTGCATTGCATCTAAAGATCAGTTTAGGGCAGCATTAGCATCTTTACAATATTGAAAACTAGAGTGAACAGACCTCAGCTTGGATGCAGGCGGGGGGAGATTTAACACTAAATTTTCTAAGTTTGGACAATTACAGGAGGGTGGGGATCCTGTTTACTGAAACAAGGCAGTGTGTATGACTTAAAGAAATCATAAAACTTATTTCATAAAGAAAACATAAAACTTATATCATAAGCGGTAGTACTGGTTCAACATACCAGTATCATTCAGCACTAACATATACTTTTCTCTTTTTTAGATACTTATATATATATTGTTAGATATATCACACATCTTTTGTTAGATATATTCCTAGTCATCTTCTTTTATATTTTCTTATTCCTTATATTATTGTATATAGGAATACTCCTGAGTTTTTATGTTAATCTTATATATTGTAAAAATCATCTTATAATTAGTTGATATATTTTCTCGGAATTCTCTATGCAGATAATAACATCAGTCCCAGTTAAATCTCTTCCAGGACTTGTAATGGCGTTTCAGGATTCTTGTCCCATGAGGACATAGGGATATCATGATTCTAGCCTCAAAGCCCACAGATGGCCTGAATCAGTTTTTGGTCACCTGGCTCTAAGTTCCCAGACTCCATGGGCCTTCAGCCTTCTTTACATACAGAAGCTGAATTCTTAGCCATCACTTTCTGCTTTCAGACCATCCCAAGCCGAATGCCCAATAAGCCTAAGGCTTTGGTTCCAATGAACATTTAAAAAATTTCTGTCCTATTTGTATTCCACAGAGAGGAAGGTGTTCATTTGAAGCCTGGATACATATTTTTGTTTCATATTTTAATATTTACCTGCCATTGTTATTTGTTTATAAAGAAGGGAATGCATCAAGGTATAAACCACCTGTGCCACTTTGTCAGAAGTTAATACAACCACCCTTACTATCTCTCGACTATGGGAAATGTTTTGAACAAATACTGTGTGCAAAATAATTAGCATGAAGTTCTAAGAGATCATAAAACAAATCATTTTAAAAAGATGATGTTAGCTATTTTGTCTAAAGAGCAACTTGAATAGTCCATCTTTTTACATATTCTCCTGGAGGCTGCAACATGGATTATATCTTATCTTTATATTCCTAGAGTCAGGCATGCAATAATGCTAAAGACTCTCAGCTTATCTACAACTATGATTTGTCAATTTAATTTTAAAAAATTAAAATAAAAACTCAGTGGTGTGCTGGTTGTCTTAAAACAAGCCACATAACTTTCAGTGCCTCATTTTCTTTATCAGGCAAAAGTTGTGTTGTAATAACAACTATTTCAAATAAACCATGATGACATATAAGTTGGGAGGAAATAATAGGAGTTAAAGGTCTTACATTGTTCAGTAAGAGAGTAAAGGTCCTAATTTGTTTTAGACTTTAAGTTAAATACGCATGTTAAAATAGGCCAGGTGAACACTAAAAGAATAGGCACAAATAATAAAATTTTCAGGATAATGGAGTAATAGAATGAAAAAAAAAAAGATGAGAAAAAGACAGAAAATCTCAATCAATCCAACAGCTGTGCCCCAGATCCAGTCCTAACCCTTCTCCACTAGGATCTGTGCCCTTCAAGCCTAATCTTGCATGGACCACAGACTGAGGTTCCTTTGCTTCTGGAGTGAGCTCAGCCATCCAATAGGAGAAAGGATAAGAAAGCAGAGAGAAGAAAGGGAGGGAAAGCAGGGTGTCTACTCCCTAGCTCCATTTTACAGGGCCTTCAGCTTCTAGAGGGAAGGGTCTACAGATCTCTCTCTCTATATATATACACCTGGTTCCAGTAACTGCTACCTTCCTCAGTGGGTTGAATCATGTCCTGCAAAAAGATGTGTTCAAATCATAAACTCCGGTACCTGTGAGTGAAACTTTATTTGAAAATAGGCTCTTTGCAGATATAATAGGGTTAAGAAGAGGACATATTGGATTAGGCGGACCCTAAACCCAATGACTGAATTTTTATTTATAAAAAGAGAAGAAAAGGGACTTCAGTTACAGAACCAGAGAGGAAACAGGCCATGTGACAATGGAGGCAGTTTGGAATGATGCAGCCACAAGCCAAGGAGGGAGGAAGGATTACTGAGAGTCCCCAGAAGCTTGGAGGAAATGAGGAAGAGCTCAACCTTGGAGCCTTCAGAGGGACCATGGCCCTGCCAAGTACATTCATTTCGGACTTCTCATCTCCAAAACTGTGAGAAAACAAATAACTAGTTTTTTTTTTTTCCTTTTTTTTTTTTTTTTTTGAGACAGAGTCTTGCTCTGTCGCTAGGCTGGAGTGCAGTGGCGTGATCTCCGCTCACTGCAACCTCTGCTTCCCGTGTTCAAGTGATTCTTCTGACTCAGCCTCCCAAGTAGCTGGGCCTACAGGCGTGCGCCACCATGCCCGGCTAATTTATGTATTTTTAGTAGAGATGAGGTTTCACCATGTTGGCCAGGATGGTCTATGATCTCTTGACCTCTTGATCTGCCTGCCTCAGCCTCCCAAAGTGCTGGGATTACAGGCATGAATCACTGCGCCAGGCCAGTACCCGTTGTTTTAAGCCACTCAGTTTGTGATAATTTGTTGCATAGCCCTAGGCAACTAACGCACTCCTCTCACTAGGCTCCTGCAGTGGCCTCGCTGCTCTCACTGGCTCCAGGCCACCTTCTATCTCTTGTGGTTTTCCTACACTTTGTCCATGCCTTCATATATAGTCACTAAACAACAATCTACAAATTGCCAAATTACCCAGTTTCAGAGTTCATCAGTTTCATGCCAGAACCTTGACCAATGCAGAAAGCAAAAGAAAAAAGGAAAAAAGAAACACAAAAATCTTGACAAAGAGAAAGTGCATATGATGATAGATGAAGATAGTCAATCCAAATATCAGTCATAGACATGGATAAACGTCATGAAGTAAAACTGAGCAAAATAAATCAAGTTACAGAGAATACATACAAAATTATATGTTTACATGAAATTCAAAAACTGGCAAATAATGGGCTGGGCATGATGGCTCATGCCTGTAATCCCAATACTTTGGGAGGCTGAGGGGAGATGATTGCTTGAGACCAACCTGGACAATAGAGTAAGACCCTGTCACTACAGAAAATTTTAAAAATATAGCCAAGCATGGAGGTGTGCACCTATAGCCCCAGCTCCTTGCGGGGCTGAGGTGGGAGGATCGCTTGAGCCTGGGAGGTGGATATTGCAGTGAGGTGTGATTGTGCCACAGCACTATAGTTTGGGTGAGAGAGTGAGACCCTGTCTCAGAAAAAAAATAAGTCACTGGCAAAAATAATACAATATATTGTTTAAATTATACATATTGAAGTAGTAAATTTGATGAGAAAGATTAATACAAAATTTAGAATTATAGCTTATAGCTATAAAGGTGGAATACAGAAAATTTCCAAGGTGTTGGTTTCTTAAGCTGGGTAAAGGGTACATGAGTGTTTTTTTTATTATAACTAACCTGTACCTATATGTATTCTGTGTACTCTTATGAAGATAATGTGCTTCCCAATAAAAATTGTAAGGTTAAAAAGTGAGTTAACATTATCAGTGATAAGCCATGTTGATAGCATGTACTTCTGATATGATGTGATGAAAATGGTATTTTACCTCTGTGGTCTTCTTTCCCCATAATTTATCAGCCCAGTCAAATCCTGAGAAAAATGTAGGACAAACCCCAAATTAAGGGACATTTTACAAAATACCTGATGAGTAATCATCAAAACTACCAAAGTCATCAAAACCAAGGAAAGTCTGGGAAACTGTCACAGACCAGAGGAACCCAGGGAGACATGCTGCATAAAGGTAACGTGGTGTCCTGAATGGGATCTCGCAATGGAGAAAGGACAAGAGGGAAAACTAGGGATATTAAGAATGGAGTTCAATCCATAGTAATGCACCAAGGTTTGTTTCTTTGTTTTGACAAATGCACCATGGAAATATACGAGGTTAACAATAGGGAAAACTAGATGAGGGGTACACAGAGAATCTGTACTATCCTTGCAATTCTTCTGTAAATCTAAAACAATTCTAAAAAAATTATAAAACTTATTAGAAGCAAAAACAAAGCTAACTTTTTAAGATTGATCAGCAAATTCTCAGTCATCACAGTTACTATGCCAGATAACATTTAAAAATTACAGAAATTATGGCTGGGCGCGGTGGCTCATGCCTGTAATCCCAGCACTTTGGGAGGCCGAGGCAGGCAGATCACGAGGTCAGGAGATCGAGACCATCCTGTGTTACACGGTGAAACCCCAACTCTACTAAAATGCAAAAAAATTAGCTGGGTATGGTGGTGGGTGCCTGTAGTCCCAGCTACTCGGGAGGCTGAGGCAGGAGAATGGTGTGAACCCGGGAGGCAGAGCTTGCAGTGAGCCCAGATTGCACCACTGCACTCCAGCCTGGGCAACAGAGTGAGACTCCATCTCAAAAAAAAAAAAAATTACAGAAATTGTAAGACTAATATTACTTTAGAAATAATGAATACCTCTGGCCAATAAAAAAAGGGTACAGATTTTATATCCTCTCATTTACCTCCTAACAAAATAATCCAAATTGTACCTACCAGCTACCAAAAATTAAAACCAATAAACTAGATTAGCATCTGAAGGTTTTATAGAGGACTTGTTACACAAATGTTAAATGCAAGCTGCAAAAATTTATCTTGTTGTTAGTGCCAGTATTATTTGAGTCTGAGCTTGATGAGAAACCTGAAATAGGCTCAGTGACAGCAAAAAGTGAAGGTCAAGGCAGAGTGGAAAGTAGGATAGCTAAGTGTTGAAGGCATACAATATAATCATATATAACATCGTGATAAACATCCTTATTCACAAACTTTGTAAACCTCTCTGCTTCTTTTGCTAAATTCCCCAAAGTAGAAACAATGCTGGGTCAAAGCATAACCTTCTTTACTGCTCTCTGTAGGGAAATCCTGTCAGGGGGTTCCCCAAAGACTGAACTAACCTGCCCTCTACCTTCATGTTATTTTTCCCACAGTAATGCTCAATTGATAAATCTCACTCCTAGTTTTAATGTTTTTATCAATAATAAGGCTGAATTTTTAAAATTGTATTGGTCCTTTGTGTGTCTTTCAACAAATTATTATATCACTTACACTGCCCATTTTTCTTAAAAATATTAAGTAGCTCTTTATAGCTTATTATCTATACTATATGTTGTAAGTACTTTTTTCCATCATGATTGCTTGATTTCTAATTTGGGATGCAGTGTTTCTGATTAATTAAATGTTAGATTTGACTGCATGAAAAGCTATTATTTTCTTTTATTACTGCTTTTCCCTGTGTTTTCATGTTAAAAAATACCTCGTGATACTCTCAATATCAGAAAATGTGTCACCTATATTTCAACCACATTACTGTATGGTTTATTTAAAAATCCTTTATCCAGAAATTTATTTTGGAGTATGTGATGTGATATATACATATACAATAAACATATACTGTAAACATGTATTTGGCTCGTATACATGAAGTAGGAACCAGCATGTCCAGATTTTTATTTGGGCTAAAATTTGTATAAATCAGAAAGGATTCTTTTACTGTTTTATGGTTCAATATGGTAGCTAGTAGCCACACTTGGTTACTAAGTGCTTGAAATGTGGCTGTATTACAATGCACATGGAGGTATATTGTAAGTATAAAATACACAGGGGATTTCAAAACTTAATTTGAAAACAAAGTATGTAAAATATCTCAATAATGTCTTCCATCGATTACATGTTGAAATAATAAGATTTGGGATATATTCTTTAAATAACATATAGTATTACAATTAATTTCATCTGTTTCCTCTTCCTTCTTTTGGTGTGGGTACTGGAAAATTTTAAATCATGTATCTGGCTCACATCGGTGGCTCACACTACATTTCTTCCGGACAGTGCTGATTTAGTTCCTGCATTCAAGTTAGGCCTCCTTGGCTCCTTTTCAGTTTAGCCCCTTGCTACTCAAAGTGTGAGCCCTAGACCAGCCTTAGACAGTTCACCCAGGAGCTTATTAAAAATGCAGAATCTCAGGTCCCACTCCTGAACTATTAAATCAGAATCTGTACTTTAAGGAGACACCTCCAAGTGACTCCTTTGCACAATAAAATGAGAACCACTGCTTCCATCAATAAACGTCCAAAACTTGGCCATCTCACTCCTACCACTAACCACTCTCATGATGAAAAAAGGATGGGAAACATAAATTCAGTGACAGGGAAGGGAAGGCAGCGACTACTGAAAGCCTAAAACAAAACAAGCCCAATCTAGGCTTTCTTTGGGTAGAGAGAACTCCCTAGATTACTCCAAAATCAGGTAATTCAACAAAACAAAGACCTTTGCTTATTGGGTTTATGTTTTTAATCAAGCAATATAAATACTATATGTATTTTATAGGTTTCTTTGGAGGGGAAATCTTTTAGAATCTATACAACCAATTTGTGCTATGGCCCCTGACATTTTTTCCATTCCTGCAAATAAACTTTGATTTTGAGTAACATATTCGTTGAATCTGGCTTACTTTGTTCTTCCTTGACTGACTTACAGTACCTCTTTCAACTTTTCTCTAAAATAATATGTTTTTAAATCATTATATATAAGGAAAACTGAAAAAGTATTCTTTAGTCTCCTACATAGAAACACACTATTCCAAAAATTCTTTTTTCTTAGAGGCTAAACAGTTATACAGTAGAGATTTGAGTATTATTTCTAAAATTACCCCCTAACTGGGCATGATGGCTCATGCCTGTAATCCCAACACTTCGGAAGGCCAAGGCAGGAGGACCACTTGAGCCCAGGAGTTCGAGACCAGCCTGGGCAACATAGTGAGAACCTGTCTCCTAAAAAAAAGTTAATAAAATAAAAATAAATAAATGAAATTACTCCTCTCAGTCCCCCTGTATACTTCCTCACTGTCAGTCACCCTCCTTAAGGAGGTTAGAGTAACAAGACATTTGCCCCTAAAATCATCTTGCCAGGTAAACCTAATCAAATGGTCATCCTCTGCCTGCCCTACCTAATACCAAACACTGAAATGGCACAAGGTATGGTGAAAAGTGCAAAGGAGACAGGGCTGAGTCTGGCCCATTTTGAGTGATAATAAAGAGCTTGGAAGGCTAAATGTGAATCTCTAGTAGGACAATGGCAAGCGATGCCCAAGAGACTGTAGAGGCCAGGCCACTAA
This sequence comes from Homo sapiens, assembly GCF_000001405.40. Taxonomy (NCBI): domain Eukaryota; kingdom Metazoa; phylum Chordata; class Mammalia; order Primates; family Hominidae; genus Homo; species Homo sapiens. The sequence continues at coordinate 365,979 of NW_017363814.1, forward strand.
TTTCTGGCTTTCCATTCTGTTAAGTGGATCTTCTTGTCTAATCATGAGCCAACAGTTCGCTATTTTCATTACTTTAATTTTAGGGTAGCTTTAATATCTGGTTGTACAGGCATACTCTTACAATTCTTTTTCAAGATTTTCTTGGTTATTCTCACCTACATTTTTTGTTCTTGCAGAACTTTAGGATAATCTTGCCAAGTTTAATTTCCCATGGGTTTTGACTAGATTTGCGCTAACATCGGTAAACTTATATTGAATCATTCAATTCACGAACATGTTACAACTCTCCATTTATTCAGGTCTTCTTTTATGTACCTCCATAAAATTTAATAGTTCTCTTTCCAAAAGTCCTGCACATTTCCTAGTCGCTTTATTCCTAAGTTGTCTATATTTCTGTTGTTATAGCAGATGTAATCATTTTTAAATTTTTTTCCTTTTACTTAATTATGCAGCAATACATGAATACAAAGTCATTACAAAACATTACAGAAGAGTAAAACCAAACACTCTGGTCATTAATCCTACAAACCCTCACTCTTCCCACCAAAGGGGACATCTATAAAGAGTTGGGCTCATGTCCATCAAGACAATTTTCCATGCCCCTTAACTATTGTTGAGTTTGTGGCTTTGTTATGTTTTGCATAAACAAGATTGTACTATGTATTTTCTTTATGACTTTTCATACAGAAGTGTTGTCTTAGAAAAGTTTCCAGGTGCATAGATATGGCTATACCTGTAGTTGCATATTATGCTATTATAAGAATTTGACAATACATTTAATACATTTCCCTACTAATGGACATTTAAGTCACCAGAGGCTTTTCACACTGAAAGCACTACTTCACCAAACATACATATACATAGATTTATATACATATTTATGCCAGTATTTTTGTAGGTGAGATTTATAAAGATGGGAGTTCTGGGTCAACATATGAGCATTTTAAGAAATTGAAAGCTACTATCAAATTGCCCTGAAAGAAGGATTTACCACCTGTGCCAACATTCTGAAAAAGTCCATTTTCCCATACCGTTTATATTTTACATTTTCACTCTTAATTTTTGGCAATTTGCCAAAATGTTATGAAATACTTGTTTTTTAGTTAATATTACACTGAAGAACTGAGGAAGATATTTATATTTGCATTGGCTATATCAATATTTTCTCCTACAGTCTGTCTTTTCCTAGCTCCTCTTTGATAAGCTATGAATTTTCTCCTTAATCCCATGAATCTGCTCAAGGAGCTCTATTTTATTATGAATATGGATTTCTTGTCTGTTATATATGCATTCCATACTGTCATTTTCTTTTTAACTTTGTGCTGTCCCTTGTCAACAGAATTTTTTCATTTTATATAGTTAAATCTGAGCTTTACAAAATATGTGCTTTATTAACAAAATGTTAAGTAACAAAATCCAGAGGTGTATCTAGTAACTATTATAATTTCAAAGTAGTTATGACCACAAACAATATTTCAAGATATCTGCAACAACCATAATGCTCTACGAAAATAGCTAGTATTTCTACTGTTGACAAAATCCAGGTCCTGCTAATACTACTGAGGTTTGCCACATTGTAATTAAAGGAAACAGTAAATTTTAGATGTGGTTAATTGATAATAAAGATGTGGTTGTTTTCCCATTCAATTTTGCAAACTCCTTGGTCCAAAGTCATCTATTTATTGAATTCTTTCCTAACCACCTTCTGGCAAAGTTAACTATTCTTCCTCTGTGATCCCACATCTGTCTACACTTGTACTCACAGAATGCTCCGTGCCAAGTGCTTCACTTTCCTTATCTCATTTCCCTCAAAAGACAGCTCCTGGAGGAAAGGACTAGAGTGAGACGAAGCTGATGGAGCCAGTGCCCTGCCTTAGAACCCTGGCATACACGGCCTAGCATGAGTTATAAAGAGGCTGATGTACTAAAAAAGTGTACGATTGATGGTTAGCAAACAAATGAAACTGTACTTGCAATGCACAATTGGAATTTATGTTCAAAATCTGTCTATAGTCCCACTGTGCTGGTGGCTCACATTTTATTGTGGTGCTGATCTTCTATTCTTCTATCAGCGATTCTCAACCTTGTTTTGAAATTATTGTCCCTCAAAAGAGCCTTTTTTGGGCATTTTTTCCTAATTGCCCGCATGAAATTTTAATATTACAGACTATAATATACATGTATAGCTATTCATGTACCATGACCCTTTGGAGGGCCAAAAACCATTGTCATAATTTTTTTTTATTTCCCCAAACCAAGTTTTGCCCCTGCTAACAATTCATAGACCAAAATGAAATTCTAAGAAAGATGAGTATATCTGTATTCTATTTTAATGAGACATCAAAATCATAAGCCATTGTGTTTCTTACACAGAAAAAATGTTATGTTGTACCCTTCTTATCCCTACAGGCTAAGAAGTTGTAAGACCAAAGAACACAGTATTAAAGAAGATATAAAGAGAGGCATTTAAAAAAATCACAATTGAACCCTACACTCCTTGCCACATAACTCAGACTCTTTCAGTTTCACCAAATAATGTCTTTCACATGTTTATTACTCCATATGTCATTAGAGAAAATACAGGATGCCTGGAGTTATAATGTGCAAAAGGCATACACATATATCTCACCAGTAAGTTGAGAGTTACTATGACGTCTCTTTGAACTTTGCCAGCATTTTAGAAAAATGACTCAAACTTTTGCTGGCATGGGCAAAAATAAAGCAGAGTCACAGCACTGACAGTCCTTTGATATTAGATTGTTGTTAAAAGAAAGGATGCAAAGTCTTTGCTGGAATCATGTACTAAAATAGAACGGAAAGCCTCATTGACTTAAAAGCTAAATGGAAATTGGTTTGGTCATATTTTAAAACTGTAGCCAAAATATCTTCAATATGATAATACAGTATGTTCAAAAGATTTCTGCATCAACTGTAGCAACCTGTTGAGTCTTTGAGAGCAAAAAAGATAACATTCTGAATCAGCATTTTGGGAAGCAAAGGGATTACACAGTTCATGAATTAATTAAACACAGTAAATAATGTTCTTTTTCCCCAACCTTCTTAAATCAAATACATGTAAAGTCTATTTTTTAAAAGCACACAGTATGCAAAATATTTGTCATAAAATAAAAGTAAACTGAAAATTGGTAAAGCTCTTTGTATTTGCAGTGATGATTGCTGGCAAATAGGATAACATAAATAAAAGTTTTTCAGAAAAGTTTTTTCCTATTTTCATTGTGAAAACTCCTCTTGTACCAGAACATTCTTTCCCTGAATTAAAAAAAAAAACTATAACACAACATTTATCAGTTAGCAAAACTCAATTTAATATAGTTTAAAACTATTAAATTTGTACTGAATGAGCTACGTCACCATTTATTAGGCTTTTTTTTTAACTTGAAAGTCTCAGTGTTTATAAAGCACTTCTTGTTTTATAAAAACAGCTATTTATTAATAAACATAAATGTACACATATGACCAATAAGCTCTTGTGGTTGAAAGGTTTGAGGAGGGAAAAAGACATAAACCGGGGCCACAGTCGATTGCATCCAGGTAATATTCTGGTGAGTGATATCACTGGGAAGAACTGAGCTTTGTTTTGCCTCTATCTTCAATAACCATTGGGTAAGTCAATGGGTAAATTTTGTTTACCACTAAACCAAAGTCTCCTTCATAACCTCATCAAATATACCATACTCATCCCCTACTCCAAACATCATTATATCATCGTCATCTGGGTGACCTTTCAGCCTTGTTACCGCTGGTGACAAAATTTAGTGGGCAGGTACACAGAATTCAACTTGCTCCCAGTCAGACCACCACTTATCCTTCCTAACTCATGGTGCCCCATTTTACTGCCTAAATGAGTCATCCCAAGGAGGCTACAATCTTCTGATCATCTGTCTCCCCTACGTGACTTTCAGGGCAGACCTTACTATCATTCCTCCACCTTGTTGACCTCAATTCCCATAAAAATGTAGAGTCTCAATCCCTAGACTCTCTTACCCTACATGGCTCTGTATATCCTGTAACTGACTCAAACATGCCCTTCCTGAGTCCCCCAAACCCCTTGACTGTACCTTGAATAATCCAGGTCTATGACCTCAGGAAAATCCCCTATGTTCTCACCCTCTTCTCTGAATATTCTCTTCACTTTTTTGCTGTCACTGAAAAGTGGACACCCCCCCCCCCCCACACACACACACACACACACCAGGACATTGCTTACGTTGACACCTTCTTGTGTAGCAGCTGTTATTTTTCCCCCACATCCCTACTGCCAGTGGGCTGGAAGAGAGGTGTATATCCTCTTTGCTGCTTCCAAGCTATTTCTCTTTCCTCCTTCTTGGAATCCATAATCCCTTTAAGGCACATGTCATCAGAGACACAAGCTACCTCTCCTTATAATTATCTACTGTATTCCTGAGGATTCCCCACTTATTGTTAGAAGATTTTGCTATGGTTCCCTGTCTTTCTCTTGGTCACTAGTTTTCTTATCTGCATAGATAACTCATCCAGAACCCTGGTGCCAAGGTCCATGCCCTCCTCATGCAAAAAACTCCTGTCTCCCAGTCCTCCTCAGACACACACCCCTCTGCTCATGCCCTGTCATCATGAATGCCAATAACTGCACCATCTACAAACACCCCAAACTCAACTTTCCCTTTCTTTGACCACCTCCTCCCCTCTGTCCAGCCTACTCACTCCAGTATCCACTCCAACCACCTCCAACAACCACCACCGCCTCATGCCCTCACTTCCTTCTTATATTATTTAAATTCCATGGTCCACTGTTAAAGTCACCCCCATGCCCAAACCCTTACTTCCATCGCTCCTAAGTTAGTTAAACCCAACTCTTCACCTATTAGATATTTCTCTAGACCAATACGGCTAAACAAAAAAACAGTTACACTGGCTCATCTCCCTTAAAACTTACTAACACAACCTCAAGTGACAATCGAAGCTACCTGGAAAATAAAATAAATTACCACTCAAGGCTGTGGTAAAATAAATTTCTCTCCTGAGTGGACATTTTCATTCTCACATACACATTGTGGAATGCTCTCTCTTCAAAAGGCTCTATTCCCTCTACCACCTGCACTCTGAGATGACTGTCAATCCTGTTTCTCTTATTTCCCTGAGAACACAAAAGGTAACCAGAAGAGAACTTCCATATTTTCCCACCCACAAACTACCATCCCCACTGCAAACATACCCACAGACTACACCTTTCCCATAGAAATGGATTAATTGTACCCTCTCCACTAGGGCTCTGGGCCCCATCCCATCTCACCTACTCCAGGACTCTGCACCTGCAATTATTACATATCATAGGCATCATCAATTGTTCCCTTTCTCAGGATCATTCTTTCAGTATACAACATGCTGTTAGTTCTCAAAAAATCTCCACTGAGACCACACAGTTCTCCAGCTACACCACCCTCCCCATTCTGCTATCCAAATGAATCATGGAAAGTGAGGAGTGTCTTCTTCTCTTTATATTCCACTCCATTAAAACTGCTTGTCAAGATCACCAATGAGCTGCTCACTGCTTGTGGCCCATTCTTAGCCCTCATTTGTATCCAGCTTTCATTTGACAGAATTGATCACTTGCTGATTCTTGAAAACATTTCATTCTCTTTGCTTCCAGGATCCAGTGTTCTCCTGATTCCTCTCCTCCCTGCCCAGCTGCTTTTTCTCAGCCTCCTTGCTTCCTCCTTCTGTTTTGGGATGGACTTCTGCATGGCCCAGCCCATGGGCCTCTTTCCTATTTACATTCAACGCACTGGTGGTGGGGCCCAAACTAATGGTTTTGATACCATCTGCTAGCTGATGACCCTCAAATTCATATCTCCAACTCAAACCTCTTCTGAATTTCAGAATTGTATATCCAATTCTGATATATATTCAGATGTATATATCCAACAATGTATGCCTAGCTGTTATCTCACTTGGATATTTTTTAGGTATCTCAAAATTAACATACCCCCAAATCAACTCCAAACTTCTTCCCCTAAACCTCTTCCCCCAGGTGCCTGCATTTTCATTCACCCTATTACTCAGGCCAAAATTCACACAGACAGTCTGTCTGGCATTGCCCTCATCCAGTTCATCAGCCAATCTTGTCTTCTCCACAATGAGAACATATCCTGAATCTGATTTCTTCTCCCCACTTCCACCTCCACTTCTACCACCCTGGGCTGAGCCAGCACCACCTTGCACCTGCATTACTGCAACAGCCTCTTCACGGCTCTCCCTGCTTGGAATCATGCTGTATCACCCCCAGCACCACCCTCACAACACCATCCCACCACACAGCTCCAGGTGATCTTCTCAAAGGATAAATCAGATCATGTCACTTTGCTGGTTTCAAAAGCCTTCACTCACTTTCCTCCACACTCAGGATAAGATGCAAAGTTGTTGCTGTGGCCTACAAGGCAGGCCTCATATTGGCTGGCCCCTGACCATCTCTCCACATCTCTTCCACGCGCCCCGTTCATTCCTCATTTAGCTCCAGCCACAGTGCCCTCCTGGAGTTCTGCAAACCCAGCCAGCAGGCTACCACCTCAGAGTGTTTGCGCTTTACTTGCTGTCTTTTCTACCTAGACGACTGGTCCCACACAGTTGGGCATGGCAGCTGGCACCTCACCACACTCAGGTCTTGGACCAATGGTTACCTCTTTAGACAGGCCTTCCTGACCACCTTATCTGAAAGAGCAATGGCTGTCACTCCGTCTCCTCACCCTGCTTTAATTCTACTCATACATTTGTCACTATGCACCATGAGTTGTTACTTCTTCATTATCTTTCTCTCCCACTAGACTGGCTCCCTTAAGGCAGAGATATTGGCCCACAGTGTTATCTTTAGGGCTTAGAATCGAGTCTGGAACCTAGTAAAGCCTCCATAAATAAATATTTCCTGAATGAATTAATTCATAAATCAATCTTGTCTTCATGCTCTGAGAAAACTAACCTTATTGAACAGGAAATCAATTTCTTCAGGGCATTTAACAAAGGAGGCAATTTCCCAGGTCACTTATGCAAGTAACCGAAGGAAACTGTTTTGTTTTGTTCTTAACGTATAATTCGTTCTTCTTGCTCCTCCAAGCACCTCCTAGAAAAGCCTCAAATAGTTGGTTGTTCTAAGTGCACCTCCCCTTACAACGAAAGCATAGGCCAGGCCGGGCATGGTGGTTCACACTTGATCCCAGTGCTTTGGGAGGCCAAGGTGAGGGGATCACTTGAGCCCAGGAGTTCAAGACTAGCGTGGGCAACATAGTGTGACCCTGTCTCTACAAAAAATAGAAAATAATTAGCTGGCTGTGGTGTTGTGTACCTGTGGTCCCAGATACTAGGGAGGCTGAAGTGGGAGGATTACTTGAGCCTAGGAGTTCTAGGCTGCAGTGAGCTGTGATCAGGCCACTGAGCTCCAGCCTGAGTGATAGAGCAAGACACTGTCAAAAAAAAAAAAAAAAACGAAAGAAAGAAAGTATAGGCCACCTGCCCTTCTGGTCGAGCCACCAACATCCCTCGAGTAGAACAAAAACTGATGATAGAATCCTCATTATAAGAATGCATTTGTCTACCCCTGAAAAATGACTTCAAAATCTCTCAGGGTACAATCAGAAAAAGAGTTTCATTACTGAATTTATAGAAGATGAGAATATTCCTTGGAGAACTTTTTAAAATAATTTCATCTACATTTTCCTGTCAGAAAGAACTCTTCACCTTCTCCTTTTCCAATAATGAGTCTAACTCTCCTATGTTAGATATGTGGCGTCAGCTCTTAATAAATCAATAAGATTTCTCAGGAAATAGATAAGACTTAAAAGTCTAATCCATAATAGTTTACATTAGAAATCTGAAGGTTAAAGAGGTTGCCTTTAAGGCTTTTATCATGGCTCTGAAATGGAATTTCATGAATCAATACATCCTTGAGAGTCAAATGTAGAGCACCATATTTCGATTTGTACCAAAAGTTAAATATACACTAAAGTTATCACAGACCCGCTGTCAAGAGAAAGTCTTGCTTTACATAGAGTGAAGAAGGTAAAGCCTAGAGTCTGTTTCTGGAATTTTCACTGACAGACAGATTATAGTCTTGAAAGAATTAACTGTAAAAATAATGAGGCAGTTCTCAGTTACACAGTATACTATTTAATCCTCAGAACAACTTCAGGAGGTGGGTCCTATTATCATCTGCATTTTACAGATGAGGAAACTGAGTCAGAGAGTGTTTATGACCTGCCTGAGATCATATACAGAGAGTAAGGGATTGAGCTGGAACCTGAGTGCAGGCGATCTGGCTGGAGTCCATGCTCAGCACTCCTCCAAATGACATTACATGATGGGACCTACAATGCTGCCTCTCCTGACATTTGGAAATTATCAGATTTCAAGAATAAAGCAAGTTACTGGCTAGAAAAAAAAAGGAGGCAAATAAATTAGTTAGAGTTGCTCTTCGACCTATTCAAGTACAATTTACTATCAACTATGCAAACTTAGAGTGTTAGCTTGTTTTCTCATCAAATTACTTTTGACTGAGGTAGTGGACACACTTCACCTGTGAGGAAGGTGTATAGAACTACACACAGGCACACTCATACACACGCACACACACACACACACATAATAAATGCAAGTAAAACTAGGGAAATCTGGGCCATGCACAGTGGCTTATGCCTGTAATCCCAGCATTTTGGGAGGCCGAGGCGGGCAGATTACTTAAGGTCAGGAGTTCGAGACCAGCCTGAACAACACGGCGAAACCCCATCTCTACTAAAAATACAAAAACTAGCCGGACATGGTGGTGCACTCCTGTAATCCCAGCTACTTGGGAGGCTGAGGCAGGAGAATTGCTTGAACCTGGGAGGCAGGGGATGCAGTGAGCTGAGATTGTGCCACTGTGCTCCAGCCTGGGCAACAGAGGAAAACTGTCTAAAAAATAAATAAATGAATAAAAACTTAAAAACTAGGGAAATCTAAATAAGTGGTTTATATCAATGTCTGTATCCTGGTTGTAATATTATACCATAGTTTTGCCTCTATGTTGCTGCTGAGGTAAGCCAAATAAATAGTATGTGGATGTCTCTGTATTCATTATTCCTCCCAACTATATGCACATCTACAATTATCTCAATACAAATTTCAATTAAAAATTATTAAAAATATATATCTTTAGGGTTTTTGATATTTTGAAAAATCACTTTCAAATGGATTTGGATTCTCCATACTGAATTTCAAACTATTTTTTGCTCTTAACAAGATGGAGCTTGAGGAAAAATCACCTGGAAACTTTATACCATGAGGTATTCTCAAGAGGGCTTTAATAACAATATTCAACTGCAGTCCTGATGTGGTGCTGTCTTTACTGAGAAGTTAAAACTATTATATGATGGTCAGTGATGTGGAAGGCACACTACCTTTTTAGATAATTTTTATGTAACTGAAATAGATGAATAAGAAAATTGTAAACAGGGAAGGATACCTTTTCCAAGCAACCTGAATGTGGCAGACACCTTTTGATCATAAAACATATCCCTTAAACACACTCCCTCAATCCTACGTTTCTCTCCATGCAGAAGACAAAATTCTTCAAAGAGCTGCCTAATTCCTTGTTGACTTCCTTTCCTCACCTCCTATTCCCTCTTCAAACTACCTCAGTCCTGTTTCAACCCTCACAACTCATCCCATTAAATTCAACTGAAAATTACTGCACTCAGTTCCTTGCCTTGTCCTCAGCCTCTGAGGCTGCTTTCCCTCCCTGCTTCCGCATTCCCTCTTCCATGGCTCTTCTGGTTTCCTCCACATCTCAGGTGCTCCTTTGCACTCTGCCCTATGAGCTTGCCCTCCCATTCCTGGCTATGACATGTGGGCGCTCCTCTCTCCCTAGGTAATCTGATGCAGGCCTATGACTTCATTTTATATCTATGAATGTATCTTTTGCTCACTATTTTATGTCTCAAGACCAGAACTCTATATCTCAGATGCCTCAAGTGTCCTCAATATGAAAGCTGGATGTATGATCTTTTCCCCTTTACAGAAGCAAGTAACCCAAGAGTTCTTTTACACCACTCTCAATATCCAACCCCTTAGCAACCCACTTACCCGCTTATCCTTGTAAGGATTTCTCAAATCTGTGCACTCCTCTCCATCACTCCTGCCACCACCCATATCCCAGCTACCACTATTTGTCATCTCAACTAAAGCAAGAGCCTGCTAACATATCTCCCTGGCTTCACTCATGCCCCTGACCTCCATCCAAGTGAGCTTCTTGTGACCCCCATGCTTAAAACACTTTGATGACTTTTTACTATAAAGACAAAATCCTTAACACGGCCCCCTGCTCTCTACTCCAGCCATATGAGCACTTCTTTGTGGTTTTCACAGAAGCTGTCTCTGTTTCCTCTGGCTGAGCCAATCTTTCCAGTTTGTTTGCCGAATGAATTTCTACTCACCCTTCATACTTCAGCTCCATGAACAATATTTCCTCAGGCAGGACATGCCTGTCCTCTCCATCCCCCAATATAGGCTCACACATTGCCATATGCCATTCTTTGTAGCACTTACTGATATTTAAATGCAACTTCCATCTGTGTGATTGTATGGTTAATGCGTGCCTCCTCACTGGACTGTAAACTCCTCAGGGAAGAAACATGTTTACATGTACTCATCACTGTACTCATGCCTGACACACTCCCACAAACACACCTATATTGAGGAAATAGCACCAAAAATAAAAGGTAGATTTTAGAAATGGTAGAAATTGTGCCTCTGCCTTTCTGCCCCTTCGCACCCTGGCTGGAGAAGAAGATGAGGTTTTATAATTATATACATGATAAAATTTGTCACTTAAATATCCCCAAAATTGAAAAAAAAAATGCTGTCATTGATACAACTGTTATTTAAATATTACCATTCATGTTTTAATTGAATTATGATATTTTCAATTAATCTTGATTTTTCCCCATATCTCCATTCCACAGGTAATAAAGAAGTAAAAAAAATGAGTAAATAAGTTTTTTAATTAATCTTTTTTTTTTTTAGACAGTGTTCCTGTCGCTCAGGCTGGAGTGCAATGGCACAATCATGGCTCACTGCAATCTCCACTTCCCAGGCTCAAGGGACCCTCCCACCTCAGCCTCCCTAGTAGCTGGGACTACAGGTGCGTGCCACCACACTTGGCTAATTTTTGTAATTTTTTTGTAGAGATGAGGTTTCATTATGTTGCCTAGGCTGGTCTCGAACTCCTGGGCTCGAGCAATACTCTTGCCTCGGCCTCCCAAAGTGCTGGGATTACAGGCATGAGCCACCACGCCCAGCCAATCTTTATTTTCTCTCAAAATTTTAATTCACAAGTAAAAGCTGAAAATGTGTATAAATAAGGAGTTTTATATTGTTAAAATAATAATGCAATTTTCAGATGTTTAACTTATTAGACAAATGGCATTGCTAAAAATTTCCCTTAGGGCATCATTTGTTTGCCTTCACGTTTGTGATAATCAACGTCATAATTTTATCAGTGTCTTCATAGCTTTTGTAACTACACAAAAAATCTTAACGTGAGCATCACATCCTTTCCTCCTTCCACTCTCACCTTTCCACAAACAAGAGAAAGTTACCAGCTTAGCCTTACCCTGTCCCTTGTGGCTTTGAGTACAGAAAATGGGAAATTCCATGCAAGTGGATCTTCAAGAGGAAAACAGTTAAAGAACTATACTCCTCATGGGCTGAACATGCAGAAGGAGCCGACCCCTGGGAGAAGGTTACCCTGGGGAAACAGCACAGAGGTTGCTGAGAATCCAAAGAGAAAGGCGACAGTGGGAAAGGGAGGATAACATAGATGAAGGAAAACACTTCTTGGCTAGGAGGGCTGCAGTCTCCCAAAGTTATAAGTGCCAAAGAATAGAAAGGGGACGAGGGACTTTAATGAGATTTGACTTGAACGGTACTTGAATGCTGTTAAGTACTGGAGGGAGTTTCAGGTGGACTGGAATTCTTGCTTGGACTGTGCATCTTCCAAAAGACATGCTCACATCACACTTTCTTTACCAATCGCTAAAAATAAGAATACTTATTCTGCACTTACTCAGTGCTGGATACTACAGAGAATGTTCCTGGTTCAAGCAACTATCCTAGACTTACTAGTAAGAATTTTTTGGCCAGAAGGTGAGAAATGCATCCATCAAAAATTTAGGAGCCAGCCGGGCAGGGTGGTTCATGCCTGTAATCCCAGCACTTTGGGAGGCCAAGATGGGTGGATTACCTGAGGTCAGGAGTTCGAGACCAGCCTAACCAACATGGTGAAACCCCATCTCTACTAAAAATACAAAAATTAGCCAGGCATAGTGGCACATGCCTGTAATCCCAGCTACTTGGGAGGCTGAGGCAGTAGAATCACTTGAACGCGGAAGGCAGAGGTTACAGTGAGCCATTGCACTCCAGCCTGGGCAACAAGAGTGAAACTCCCATCTCAGAAAAAAAAAGAAAGAAAAAAAAATTTAGGCGGCTTCCACCTCAGTGAAATGTCTAGGGGTCCAGTGGTGTGGGGCACGTTGAGATATCCCTTCTAAGGTGAAAGATAATTTGTTGCATCTGGTCCCTCCTACAGCCAGGAAAGAGGTATATGCCTGGTGATCCTCTTTGGATTTTGGAGGCAACATATTTCCCATTTGAGTGTGCTACTCCAGTCCATTCACTGAGTGACCCAAAAGCTGCTAGTTTTCAGTGGGTCCTGAACAGAATAAGGTTCTGTAACAAGTCCAGGATGCTATGCTGGCTGCTCTGATTCTTGGGCCAAAGGATCTGGCAGATACAATGGCTTGAAGTGCCAGAGGCAGACAGGGATACTGTCTGGAGCCTTTGGCAGGCCCAGCTAGGTGAATCACAGCACAAGCCCTTAGGATTTTAGAGCAAAGCCCTGCCATTCTCTGCAGACAACTACTCTCCCTTTTGAGAAATAGCCTTTGGCTTGCTACTGGGCCTTAATAGAAATTGGACACTTACTACGCTCATCATGAACAGGATGTTAATGACCTTCCAAGATATAAAGTTGGGTGTGCATAACAGTAATCCACTATCAAATGGAAGTGTTATTAATATATATAGGCTCAAAGTGGCACTGAAGGTACAAGTAAGTTACATGAGGAAGTGGCCCAAATCCCCATGGACCTGACTCCTGCTATGTTATCTCCTCTCCCTCTGTCCACAACTACAACCTTATGGGAGAAAACTTGGGCCTGTTCACAGATGCTTCCACATGACATGCAGGCACCATCTGAAAGTGGACGGCTGCAGCACTATAGCCCATTTCAGGAACACCTATGAAGGACAGCAGCGAAGGGAAATCCTCCCAGAGGGCAGAACTTCAAATACTGCTTCTGGTTGTTTATTTTGCTTGGAAGGAGAAATGGCCAAATGTACAGTTCTATACTGATAAATGGGATGAAGCCAGTGACTTGGTCGTATGTTGAGAAACTTGGAACATGATTGGAAAATTGGTGAAAAGGTCAGGGGAAGAGATATGTGGACAGACTTCTCTAAATGGGCAAAAATACTTGAAGATAATTGTGTCCCACGTGCATGCTCATCAAAGGGTGGTTTCAGCAGAGAAAGAGTTTAATATCAAGAGGACAGGATGACTTGTTCTGTTGATACCAGTCAACCACTTTCCAGACACTCCTGTCATTGCCCAAAGGGCTGATGTACAAAGTGGCCACACAGTCATCTAGTGCTTGTGACACACCACAACATAAACACAAAATCCATAATGCCAATTATCATCATGGGTTTGTGCCCATGTTGATATATATAGCTCATCATACAGCTTGATACTATAGTTCCACACAATTTCTACACAGAATGGAAAGAATATATTTGTTTATTTACATCTTTAATATAAGGTAGCATTAAGCCTCTAACAAATATTCATTTGTCAATCTAATACTCTCCTAACATGTATTAACTTGTCAATTTAGCACCCTACTAAAGAAGCTTTAAAAATTAAAGGTTGAGGCTGTAATCCCAGCAATTTGGGAGGCCCAGGCGGGTGGATCGCCTGGGGTCAGGAGTTCAAGACCAGCCTGGCCAACATGGTGAAACCTCGTCTCTAATAAAAATACAAAAATTAGCCAGGTGTGGTGGCACGTGCCTGTAGTCCCAGCTACTAAGGAGGCTGAGGCATGAGAATCTCTTGAACCCAGGAGGCAGAGGTTGCAGTGAGCCAAGACTGTGCTGCTGCACTCCAGCCTGGGCAACAAGGCAAGACTCCATCGCAAAAACAAACAAACAAACAAAAAAACAAAAAAAAACTGTTAAAGGTTGAGTTTTATTTCATATATCTCAAATGTGAAAAATCTAAATCCATCCAAATAACCCTAAATTTTTTTTCTGAAACTAAGAAGGATCTACATAAGTGTTCCAGGAACAAAATGTTGTGAGAAAAACAAGCAGTATTTGTTACTTATTACAAATTGAGTATGATAGAACCAGGCAGCTGGAAGTCCTTTTATTTGACAATCACAAAAGCATCATCTTCAGGATAAAGGCTTTGCAAACATCTCAAAGGACACAGTAAGCACTTCCACTTCGAGGACTATGAAATGCTAGATATTCTAAGAATCCCTCAGGCAATAAGTTAAACAGAAACTGGACTGACTACAACAAGCTTATTGCCTTGCTAAGCTCACAGCGAGGTGTAAGCTGAAGTCCAGGTCTTGGGAAAGAGGAGCATTAAGAATAAAGAGATGCAGCTAAACTTTGAGACCATCCCGTGCATGCAGGCAAAAATGGAGAGCCAAACCTGAGAGGCCCACATCCAGCTGGAGCTCCTGAAGGAAGCACTGTCTTTCCTATTTAATAAGGGCCTTACGGGACTGCAGTTAGACATTTTAGGGGACTGCATAGTAATGCGACACTGCTGGAGACAGAAAGGGGCAGACACAGGGGCCCTATTGCATCCTAGATGTGAAATCTATTTAAGGGGGTGGGGGTGGTGGGCAAAGATAGAGAGAGCTCAAGAGGGTTATATTTAGGAAATCATAAAGATTTTTTTCACCGTTTCTAGCAAGACAAGGATTCCAGACATCTTCAGAGTATCCAGCAGTTAGCTGACAGCCTCCAGCTGCCATGCCTTCAGGATCTGTGGCAGCATCCTATCCCCAAGCCTCTCCTCGTCAATGCCTAAACATGTTGGGGCTGGGCTTTCCTGCTCAATGGTTGACTCATCTGCTGGGCAGTCTTTGCTGTAGAGGACCCCCTGGTCTAACCAAGATTTTTTCAAAGCTCTATTCAGTCTGAGTCTCTTCCTGCCCAACCTCCTTCCTTCCTTCTTTCCATTCACAAGTGTCAGACTGGCATCACAGTCTGAGTCCTACCCACCTATTCCTTCTCCCTTGTCCCTGTGTCCTTCACAAACTTCCCTCCCAATGAATCTCTTGCCTATCTAATTCCATCATGGAGGCTGAACCTCAGAGCATCTCTGAACTGACATAATAATCAATAGTGCTATTTTGTATTTGTTTTATTTTATAAGAAGGAAATACTGTTACTGTGATAAAAGCACATTAAATTTCATGAATGCTATGCAATTACTTATTTTTTAAAGCATTAATGTGACAAATACTAATATAGCTCTTAGCTTTCATACACTAAAACTAGTAAATTATTTAATACATGCAATTGATGAAAATGAAATATTAAATAGAAACTATAACTACTTATGTACAATGGTCCAATCATTTTATATATTCCCATTGTTCAAATAGCATTTATACACACATGCGCGCGCACACACACACACACACACACCCCTTGCCAGGATATCGATGTACTCAGCATAACATGCTCAGGCCTTTCAAAAGAAATTGTTTTAATCAGAGAAATAAGACAACAATCTGCCTATTCTTTTGTTTTGAGATGGTGTATCTCTCTATCACCCAGGCTGAAGTTCAGTGGCATGAACATAGCTCACTGCAGCCTCATACTCCTGAGCTCAAATGATCCCCCTGCCTCAGCCTCCCAAGTAGCTGAAACCACAGGTGTACGCCATCATGCTCAGTTAATTTTTCTATTTTTTATAGAGATGGGGTCTCACCATGTTGCCCAGGCTAACAATCTACCTATTAACCCCAAATTAAATATTATTCTACATATGGACTTAAAAATTATTACATTTGTAATTTGGATTATGTTAGTTATCACTAAACAAATATTAATTTTGTTTCGATAGCACCCTGGGAACTACAACCAGGCAAAACTGCAAAGCAAATGAAGGTAAAGCTGCCTATGACCCCCCTCCCATTCATTTTTAGTCTTTCCAAGTTCTTCTCCATCCCAGTACTACTTCAAGGCTATAAACGAGGCTCCCCAGAGTCCACAAAATGTTCCCTCCAAGAGGACATCCTCTAAAGTATTAACAAGTGATACCAGCTCATAGTACAGTTGCTTTTCAGAAAGAAAATAATCTGAGCTGCAGTGAAAACTGTCCCACAGAGCTAACCCTGTGACCTGGATCTGAGGGGATTAAAGGCAAAGCTCACTGATTTGAAAAGTGAAATACAGCTGACTTCAGCTTTCCTGCTGAACCACAGCTTTCTAACTATTCCTTGTCAAAATGTGTGTCACTACAGGCTTTGTCATCAATGATGTCAATGTGAGGCAGCAGCTAAAGAACTGTGTGAAGACAAAAATGTTAAATAAGAAAAATGCACATATAAACTTTCAATTACCTGTAAATATGTCAGAAGTCCAGTGTAGTAAACACTCCTTCACAAGTCTTTAAAATCCAAACCTCTGTTAAATTCACCAGGTCTAGGCCTGCTTTCTGGTACTGGTGTTCAGTTCATAACATCTGATTTCCTTCTTTGAATTTATAATTCATTTACCAACCATTTAGGCTCAGTAACAAACCTACTTTAGAAAGAGCCAGGCCAGCTCAAGAGAACGACTGGATCTGGGCCATTTTATGTAAACAAAGAATCATCTGACTTCATGAATTGTCAAGGGAAATATCATAGGAAGGAAGAGATGGGAATGGAAAAATTAAATACTTCTGTAAATTGCTTGGATCCTGTCTTTAACATACATTTTGTGATATGAGTTCCCACCATGTCTGCAAGTGATTTTGTTTATTAAATGCCCTTCACACACATTATTTTATCTAATTATGAAAACAATTCTATGTTGTAGGTTTGCTTGGCTCCATTTTGCACAAAAGGAAATCACTTCTGGTGGAATTTTAGTGATTTAGATGAAACTTACACTTGCCATGTGGCAGACTGGGGAGTAGACTCCAAATAAGAACTGTACTACGCAGCTTCTTTGCAAAATGCCATGCAGCAATTTTCTTTCGCTCAACACAATATTTCAAAAAGGTATTCATAGCTGCTCAATAAAGTGTTTCTTGGCCACAAAAGATTACCATGCTATAGGATTTACAAGATTAAAAGTAATAATTTGGGGCTGGGTGCAGTGGCTCACGAATGTAATCTTAGAACTTTGGGAGGCAGAGGCAGGTGGATCACTTGAGGCCAGGAGTTCGAGCCCAGCCTGGCCAACATGGTGAAACCCCGTCTCTATTAAAAATACAAAAATTAGCTGAGCATGGTGGCACATGCCTGTAATCCCAGCTACTCAGGAGGCTGAGGTAAGAGAATTGCTTGAACCTGGAAGGCAGAGCTTGCAATGAGCTGAGATCATGCCACTTCACTCCAGCCTGGGCAACAGAGCAAGACTCCATTTAAAAAAAAAAAAAGTAATAATTTGTTCTCCAGGCTGCGCTTCTATCTAGGCTTCTGTATATATAGTATATAGGTTTTCTGTTTTGCCTTTTGTTGTAAAGTTGTCAGGAGTCTGTCTTCGCTGCTATAGTATCTCTCCACCAGGAAACTTTCTTTTAATTTGCTATCTCTCAGGGGCTGTGAGATTGGAAACCAGACTACCATGTTAAAATCATTCATATAGCAAGCATTTATTGAGCCTCTTTTATTTATCATCAACAGTGCAGTAGCTGCTGATGATCTGAGCTCCTTTAGACTCAGTCCCTGTCCTCCAGGAATCTGCAGTCCAACGGAGAAGATAAGCACACAGAGAGAGGAACCCAACAGTGGAGCTCCAGATGCTAATGCAGATATGACACGCTGCTGTGAGTGCACAGGAGATGCGGAAACTAGCTCCGTCTCTGAGAACGGTTCTCGGAAGTGAGATGTGAGCTGGATTTTGAAGAATATATACAATTTTATTAAGCAAAACAGAGGAAGTGAGGGAATTACAGGCACAAAAGAACAGAGCATGAGAAAAGTCATGGTGTACTGGAAGGACTTGATGGATTTAGAAAAGGTAGACAACTTAAAATAACAAGTCAAGGAAGACGTTCTATAAAATAAACTTTGAGTCAGAGCTATAGGTAAAGGGCATGAGGTTAGTAGATGAACTTGTTGACATCTATTTTGGGTTTGCAGAGGACTTTTTTCTTACATTCTGGTTAGATGTGTTTGATATTATAATATATTTGGGCTATAAGTAGGTAAACTGTTATTGCCATATGGGACTTTTTTGCGTTGTGATTTTTTCCACTAATCAACCTCAGTTTACTCATAAGTACCCATGTATAGCTTACCTGTAACATGTACATACTAAAATATAACTGCAACCCACTAGAGTATGAGTTCCATGAAGGCATGACCATCTGTTTTCTTCATTGTTGATTCCCCAGCCCCTAGAGCACTTAAATGTTTGTTGACTGAATAAATGCACAAGTTCATTTATGTTGTGCTTTACATAAGTTTACCTACTTATAGTCTAATTATATAGTAATTTCAAACACATCTAACCAAAAAGTAAGAAAACAGGCCTCCGTAAACCCAAAATAGATGTCAACAAGTTCATCTACTAACCTCATGCCCTTTAGCTCTAGTTCTGACTCAAAGTTTATTTTATAAAACATCTTCCTCAACTGCTAACTTTAAATTGTCTAACTTTTCTAAATCCATCAAGTCGTGCAAATCATTTTCATGTCTATTACCTTCTTTTATCCTATTAACATGACACAAATAAAAGCAAGCACCATTTTAACTAAATGAGAAAGTACTCACCCATGCCTGGTTCCTCTAGCTCCCATCACTATGGCCTTAATGCTTCCGTGGCAACATTTAAGAATGGCGCACACATCCCTGCCTTTAGAGCTACTATTGGCTCATCCCCAAAACAGCCATGCAAATTTTTCTTCACAAGAAAAGCTTCTACAAATCCAACAACCAGCAGCAGTAGTGTTGACGATTTTGTTTTTTAGAGTATCTATGCCATCTGTTACATCTGGCTTATAACAGGGTGAGCTGAATTGACAAGTGATACCCAATTACAGTAATTATTCTAGGGTCCACAGAATCACCTGGAGGGCTTGTTAAAGCACAAATTGCTTCTCTCCCCCGCCTCTTTCTACTGCCAGTTTCTGCTTCAGTACACCTGGGGGGAGCACGAGAATTTGCATTTTTAACGAGTTCTCTGGTGTTGTTGATGCTGCTGGTCCAGGGACCACACCTTGAGAACCACTGATCTGGATAATCAGGACAATCCATTCACTCTACTATTGTAATTACATCAGTATGCCCTCTGCCTTTTTGTTTAACTTTTTTTCCTATTTTTAATCCACATCAATCTTCAGTCATATACAGAAATAAATGTTCAGATATAGAAATAAATGTTAATTCGGATACATTATTTTATGAAAACTGAAGTTTCATTCACCTTCTTGCCAATTAAAATGAGTTAAAAGAAGAAAAAAGTACACAAGAGGGGAAGGTAACTGCAGAGAATTAGTATAACATTATTTTTAAATGAAATACTTCAATTTAGAACAAGTTTCTATCACCCAAAGAGAAACAATATTTTGCTAAAATTCTAAATAAAATTCTATAACTGTATTAATAGAAAATCAGACCCATATTTCCAAATGAATGGAATTTTCATTATGGAATCAAGTTACTTGGTTCATAAACTTAGTATGTAGAAGCTCTATGCTTCCTAAGGACAAACTGGAAAACAGCTGTTACGGTTTTTCTTCTCCAAGCCTTAATTTCACAGAGAAGCGCTAATATTCTCTTGTTCATTATATCATATAAGCACCTCACAGTGTTTCCCATTATGAGATTTATCTTGTTTGCTTTGAAGTTAAAAAGGGAATGATTGTCTGGCCAAGTCAGGACTCATGAAATTCTAAAAGTCGATGAGCTCAATTTTGAAATAAAATGCCGTCTCTTGCACACACCATATTAAATCTAGAAATCTGTATTTACATGGCTGTTAAATGATATTCCATGTTACAATCCAAATATCTACATATACTATACAAATATGTGCAGATATATGCTGAAAACTCTAAAGAAAATAAAACAAATGGAATTCTCTGTTTTCAAGTGTTGATAATTAGAATGTTCACTGATTCTAAAGTTTATTAGACTGGTGGTAGTATCAGTTCAAATACTGTCCTCTAAGGTTGCAGTTTCTCAGGTGCACACACAAATATTCCACAGATGCATACACAGCAGAGTTAATCCCCAAAAAACAATGAAAACATCATTACAATACTCTGATGTACCCAATCTTCTGATCTAAAAAATACCAAATGGAGATTTCACAACAGAAAATACTACAGTGATAACTGCTTTCATCAACTGACCCCAAAATATTCTATTACATTTCCAAGAAGATAATGTCTTTGCAGTTACACAATGGAGGCCAGAATTTTAAAGAACTATGAAGAATTCCTACTCCCCATGTGTGGAAATAAGCCAAATCAGAAAGTAGCAGCTCCCATAGAACATTTCAACATTAGATTTGTCAGGGGAGTTATGCTTCCTCTGAAGCATATTCTCACGACAAAATGGAATAGCCCTGAAGGTAGAGTGTATTTGAGAATCTCTCGTTTAAAAACCCTGAGAGGGAAGGTTAGGATTGAAGCATTTGCCCAAGTGATAAAACTCCTGCCTTCAAAGCTCTCATTATAGAATTTCTTCAAAGGAATTTTACGTTTCATTAAAAAAAAAGAAACAAAAGAGACTTTAAAAAAATCATCAAAAAATCCAAAAATCAAAGTTTTTGCTCTTCTCTTCTCAATGAAAGGGAAAGCAAAGGCAAAGAGCCCCGACCACCGTCCCCACAAATGATGTGCCAGTCCTCCCTGTCTGATATCAGACCCTTCCCTTCCCTTGCCCTGCTCTGCCTTGCCCTTCCCAGGAATGACCCTGCAGGCTACCTCTCTCAGGCACCCCTGCGAAGTGGCTTCTAGTTAGATTTACATAATGGGATGTGGCAGGAGACTGAGGGCCAAAGGAAGGTCAGCTCCAAGATGTGGCAGTCCTTTTCTCTGTCTCCAGCAGTATCTACACATTCTCTCTCTCTCTCTCTCTCTCTCTCTCTCTCTCTCTCTCTCTCTCTCTATGTCTATCTCCCTCTCTTTCTCTCGCTCATGGTTTCCAACTTACAAAACCCAATCCAGATGTAAAAATAGAATATTCAAGACCTAAATGTACCCACTTAACCCAACAAGTACTAATCTAATACTTAGGTAGGGTCTTCCCAACATTAAATCTGCCAGGCCACCAATTCTACACCTGATGGACCAGCAGCTGATTGGAGCTTTTCTCTGCATTGTAACCAATATTATTAGCATGAATAGCTCAGCAATACCAAGGTTGTACACAGATCACTGGTACATTTCTACTGTTACAAATGAATTAATACCCTATCTATGAACCTGAGCTTCAGTGCCTCATCTTAAGCTGGCATTAATTATACTGGTTCAACTGACAAAAGTCTCCAATGATTTAATTAGAGATGGATACAGAAGGGAAAAAGCAAAGCAAAACACAAATGTATACTGCTATGTAAATGCTAAGTGTTATTTTGATGAGCTCAAGTTCCAACCCCTTCTTAGACACACTTTGTGCTGAATGATTTTGTCAATGCTGATACAAACATTTTCCATGTGAAGTGGAACATCTTCCTAAGGGAGATTTGTTTCCTGAGACATTTGTAAACCTCCTTAATATCACAAATTAGGCATCCTGACTCCACCATGTATGATCTGTTTGACCTCAGGCACATTATTTCACTGCTATTAAAGCTTCAGTTTCCACATCTATAAAATGGTTTAGTAACAGGACTGACCTCATGGGGTTGTAGTGAAGAACTTTGAACTTTAGCAATGTTATTACTTAGTATGGGTCAGGGACTAGGACTGGAAAGGGCTCTGCTTGAGCTCTCTTTGGGGCATCTTAAGGCTGGTGGAAATAGTTTTCTGAAAATGTGGTGGTTGTCAGAAACTTGTGCTTCTGACTCATAAATGGGTTAGATATTCCATATAAAGTTAAATGGTATTGCCTAGCATATAGTAAGAAGTCAATAAATCTTAGCTATGTTATTATTGCCAGCTACAACTTCATGCCAGTAACTGGAAAGGAATATAATAAGAAAAAGTTGCTGATCTATATATTATTTGGTTAAAACAATAATAATTAAAAAACTAGCAGGGTAAAATATCTACAGAACATGTAAAAACCCTATTTTCAGCCTCCACTTTCAACTGAAAGACATAATTGAATCACTGTATGCCATTGTTCCCAAAATGGGCTTCCAGACCAAGAAAAGCTCAAATGTGTTTAAAAGGAGAAGCAATCCAGTGAGCAGAGGAATAACATATGAATCACAAGCTTCTGACAAACATCAGGTCCTCAGAAAACTACTTCCACCAGCCTTAGGAAGCCCCAAAGAGGACTCAGGCACAGCCCTTTCCAATCCTAGGCCCTGACCCATACTAAGCAATAGTATCACCAAAATTCAAATGCAATTTTAGGCCCGTCATCTAACAATGTAGAGTTTTTCATTGAAAACACGTTTATCCTTTTCTTCTATGAAATATCATTTCTGTTTTCCTTCAGTGTCCATTTGTTATATATCCAATATATAGCCATCTAGGGCCTAGCTAAATAAAGCTGATGGATATAGCTTTTTAAAAAAATAATAAAACATAGTTCTGAAACCATAAAAACAAATAACTCTACTTTGTATCTCAGGACATATCAGTATTTAGTATATCTCAGTGGGAAATTTATATTTATCTACCCTTTAAAAGCTAACATTTGTTTTTCTATCCTGCTAAGTCTATTTTCTGAAAGAGAGTAGGAAAGAAAGAGAAAATATATAAAATGGAAAAGATTGTGACATAGTATAATGACAGATCATAACTTAGAATAGAAGGTATATAGGTTATTAAATTTAAGAAATAGAACATATTTTTATAAACTAAAATGAAATACACTCTAAATATTATAGGTTTAAATCCATGTATTGTAAGAAGGGATAAAGATGTTGCCTTTTTTTTCCTTTGTGCTCTTAAGATTATTACCATCTGGCTGCAGCACATAGATCCTTAAGTAACTGTATTTATAATTTAGAGAAACATAGAGCAAGAACCTGGACATTTTCAGTGGATTGTCCAAGGGATAGGTGAGGAGGGGACATTTGCAAGAGGAAGACTTTCCCATACTTATTCACTTTCCAAGGCTTCCCAGAAAGTTGTCCCTGAGGTCAGGAGCTGACATTCAAGGCCCTGCACTTGATGTTAAACTTATCAAAAGCACAAGAGGGAGGTCATGCTTTTAAAATTCAGAGGAAGGAAAGGGACAGAAACCACCTGGCGGGAACACACCCACCTCACCCGCCCCACTCCCAACAAGATGAGATGCCTTCCTTCCCTTCTCTTCAGTACAACAAATATCTTTTATTATCCAGAATTTTTATCCCCTTAACATAGAGTATCTTTGGTTGCTCTTTGTCTCAAGTTACAAATGATACATCCAATTTTTGCCTTAGATTTTTGGCTTCATAAATATTATCTGACTCCTTCAATGTCTTTTCTTATTTCAAAATATGGGAAAATTGGACATCTCAACTCAGTAGTCTTTACTTAACACTTTACAGTCAAGCAAAGGACTACGAACAATCACACTTTATGTTTGCATATTGTTTTACAACATACGAAAGCTTTCATGTATATTCTCTTTTGTTGCTCATCACAAACATGTAAGGTAGGTAAGAAAGATGGCGTCATTATTTATGTTCTCTGAGAGAAAACTGAGGGTCTGAAAAATAGTTGTGAATGTTGACTCTATGCACATGGACAGACAGAGAGACAGAAGAGTTGGAAATGGTTAAATTTCCCATACAAGGTCTTACAGCTATTAAGTGATAGAATTTAAATTCCTTCCAGAATGTCTGACTCTGGATTTTGTATATACAAATTGACAACTGTTCCAATCCAAAATGTTGCTTAGGGAGATTTAGCAACTTTAATACATATAACCAGAAAGCATTAAACACTGGGATAGAGGGGAAAACATTATCTAATAGATTTAAAATTTATACTATCCATAGCTAAAGACATAAATGTATAAACCCAATATGTAGTAAAAAGACTATGAACGAGAGATCCTAAAACAAGATGATAAAATGAAATAATTGTATACAGTTCTCTACAACTAATGTAAGATTGCACAACTAATATGTATATGCTCAATGTTTAAAGTAACTAGCTAGTTAATTGGGAAAATGACATGAAATGAGAAAAAGCCAAAACCTCAAAGATGAACCATGAAAAAGTAAGACTCTTCCCCATACCAAATCCTCAACCCCATTCCTCAATTTCCTCTGTATCCTTCTAAACATTTTGTTTACATTTATAAGTAGGTGTATACATATGTACATACTTATGTATATACATAAGTATATACATACTTATGTGTATATATATAAGTGTGTGTATATATATATACACACACACACACACAGGAATTTGGAGGGTTTTGTTTTTGTTCTACACCAATGGCAGCATACTATACAACTGCTTTTTTCATTCAGAATATATCAGCACATTTTCTAAATCAATATACATAAATCTACTTCTTTAAAAAATTATATAGGCTTTTTTCCCCCAATATAAGGCCTTAAGATCCCCAACTATTAATTTCCCTATCATAGCATTTTTCCGGGACATAAATTGCATGACTAGAGAATGAACACTTTATTGTCATGAAACTAATTCATACCAAGCCTGACATATTTTTAACAAAACTAAGTAGGAGCATGTAATAAAAACTGTACGCTAACAATTTCAAAACTCTTTAACGAAGCCTCTTTTCATTGATTTCTTGAAGGAGAATCAGAATCTTTTGGAGAACAGTACTGAGCTATTAAAATGCTAATAGAAATGTATCCCTTAAGTCTTAGTACAAATAGTACAGGCAGAGGTCATTAGGTAAACTAAAAATCCTGTAAGCTATTCTCTCTTTTCTCTCTCTCTCTCTCTCTCTCTCTCTCTCTCTCTGTCTCTCTCTCCCTCCTTCTGTCTCTCTCCCCAAACTAAAGTTGATACAATACAACAAATTTTTAAAAGTCAGGGCTCTATATACATCAGCATAGAGACTTCATATAGATTCCATGTGATTTGGATTTTATGCTTAACTCAGAACAAGCTTATTTACTTCTTTACTAAAAAACATGTGTAAAAATAAAAACCATCAATAGTGACTTTGCAGAGAATAGCAAATATTCAAAGAGATAGAATATGATATTTAGTTCCCTATTACCCAAGTAACATCAAAATACAAGTCTATCCGTCCAAAGTACGAGTTGGAAAATGATTGAACGTCAGAATTAACACCTTAATGCCCATGTATTGTTGGAAAACGGCAATGTCACCATGTAAAATGTGTGAGCAGGCAAAATTAGACTGGTCACCAAAAAAGCACCCTCCAGCATGTTAGATAGAGGGGACACTGAATTCCTATAGAATTCAATAAACAGCCATACTGAAACATATCACCAAAAATGCTTTGCGACTTAAGTAGTATTTGCAGGAAAAAAACTTTTCCCTCATTGCTTTTTAACTTCTCTGAGAGAAATGAATGTGGAGTTTGATTCCTACTTTTGATTACACAAGATTCCTGATTAAAGAATAATTTGAGGAAAATTCACAGCAAGAGATAGCTCCAATTACAACCAGAGATCATTCTAACTAACCTGGTATACATTTTTTAAATAGAAAAAAATCAAAATGTGTGCAAGGATATAAAGTCCATTTATATGTTTATGGAATATATTAATATAGAACAGAAAACTAAGAAACTAAGTGATTAAATCCTCTCAGAGGATGACTAGAAAAATTGGACAAAATATTTAAAGAAACAACCCATTAAAGGCACACAGATCTCTCACGTATAGTAAAGATTTACTGGGAAAGGAGTCTAGGTAAATACAAATTTGAAGCAACTTCTTTCCATGGGAACTTACATGGGTTCCAGCAGGGAGAACTAGAGACTGAGGCTGAACAGGATTTGCAATATCCTCTTGGTGCCCAGGCCACAGAGGTTGGTCTTCAGGGCCTACAAAGGGTTGGGGAAAGCCCTGCTGGACTCCCTCACTTTTGGCTGTGATCCCTAAAGGCTGTTCCTGAGGAGTAAAGCTGAACCACAACTTCCGCCCTTGCAACTCAGCTTTGAATTATTGCAATATTTGAGACTGGAAAAGAGATCTTTCTACCTCCTAGTCTCCCCAGGTTTCCTAAAGTGTTAGCACCCCCAGGCAACTGGCAGAAGGTTTAAATACTGTTAAAAAGAGATCATCATCTGCATTAGTTATCAGTTGCTGCATACAACATTATTCCAAATTTAGTGGCTTAAAACAAGATATATTTATCATCTCACAGTTTTGAGTCAGGAATCTACGAGTAGCTTAGCTTGGTGGTTTTGCTTCAGGACTTCCAACAGGCTGCAATCAAGGTGCCAGATCGAGCCGCAATCATGTAAGCCTTGACTGGGTCTGAAGGAGCCACCTCCAAGTTGACTCATCTGACTGTTGGCAGGAGCTTCAGTTCCTCACTGTGTGGGTTCACCATAGGGCTGCTCTCAATGTGCTTCTCCCAGAGGGATCCAAGAGCACAAGAGGGAGTCCAATATGGAAGCCACAATCTCAAAAGTGACATACTGGCCAAGTGCAGTGGCTCACGTCTGTAATCCTAGCAGTTTGGGAGACCAAGGCGGGTGGGTCACCTGAGGTCGGGAGCTCAAGACCAGCCTGGACAACATCGTGAAACCCTGTCTCTACTAAAAATGCAAAAATTAGCCAGGCATGGTGGCGCACCCCTGTAATCCCAGCTACCTGGGAGGCTGAGGTAGGAGAATTGTTTGAACCTATGAGGCGGAGGCTGCAGTGAGCTGAGATCACGCCACTACACTCCAGCCTGGGTGACAGAGCAAGACCCCATCTCAAAAAAAAAAAAAGTGACATACCATTACTTCTACCATTTTCTATTAGTCAGAAGTGAGTTACTAAGTCCAGTTCACCCTCAATAAAGGACAATACACAAGGATTGATGTCGTTGGGGGCTATCTTAGAGCCTGGATGCCTCATCATGCTGGGCCTCAAAGTATTTTTGCAAACAGCTTTTCAAACACAATATCCACATACAATCAAAGGTAACCAGGAATACAAAGAAAAAAGACAAAAAGAAAAATACACTAGAAACAACAGATCCATAAAGCTTCAGATATTAAAGCTGCATTGTCAGACAGAGGCTTTAAAAGCTGTATATTTTTTGTTGCTGTTGATAAGGAAAAGATGATAAATTTTAACAGATAACCGCCCAAAAATAATTAATTAATTTAAATTAATTAAGTTTCAAATTTCTACTTCCCAGCATGCTGGTGTAATTGGGACTGGACTTACCCTTTTGTCATAAACAACTAGAAAACTGGACAAAATATAGGAACTAGCTCCTCTCAGACATCAGAGAACAAGCAAGACAAAATTGTGATCCCTGGGCTGAGAGAAACAAGGTGATTCTTACAATTACCCAGTTTAGAGGCTGAGAGAAGACAGAAGACTCCTGGATCAGAGATGAAAGCCTTCATTACTCATAGCAAAGGTGGTAGCCGCATATCAGCATATTCATATCAATTACCCAAGTCTAAGTTTTAAGGGCAAAATAGATGGCCAGATGATGCCTGCACACAGATAGAGTAGGAACACTGAGCCTAAAGAACCCATCACTTTATAGCAAGCGGTAACGAAGCCAGCTCTTCATCCTGAATGGAGACATTACCTCATCCCTCGAGACCGCTTGCTGAAAATGCAACCCTGATAAATAATCCAGGTAAAGAGTGGTCAGGACCTTGCATTCTTGGCATACCCAGCAAGACATGTAAGACCTATGGGAAAACTGATCTATTCGAATGCTAAGTGCATTTCATCTTAGGTAGATTAGAATGATAGCTCTAAAAGCTGAACTATTTTTTGCCAACTTAAAAAACCAGACTGTTTATATTCAATATTTTTATTAATCAAATGAGACAATTATTCTTAAAGCTAGGTTTTAAGAAACAGAGACAAGACTTTTTGTTTTAGTTCAAGAAATATAGGTAGTGTATTTATACTTCTTATACAAAAGGAAGCTTAAGGTTTAACTAGATTTTACTCTAATTCCTTTTCTATTTTAGCTTCCTTTACTGGCATATAAGTAATACTTGGTCAACAAGGTTCCAAGAGAGCTCTCTTTCCCATATTCACAGGTATTAAGTATTATACACAAAAACTTTCTCAGCATCTGGTACAGTATTTAGTGCAGCATCTATGAAGTTTACACAAGATTCCTGATTAAAGAATAATTTGAAGAAAATCCACAGGAAGAGATAGTTCCAATTACATCCAGAGATCATTCCAACTAATCTGGTATACATTTTTTAAATAGAAAAAATCAAAATGTGTGCAAGGCTATAAAATCCATTTATATGTTTATGGAGTATATTGGTATAGAATAGAAAATAATTTATAAGCTTAATATACAATACACCTGATGGCTGTCAAGTTGTCCTATACTTTGGATAGAGTTCCTACTACTAAGTTGCATATTTAACTTCAGTCTTTTACAAGTGAGCAAGGATTGCCAGGCATGAAATGATACCAGGTTATATTTCCTATTAGCAAAATAAGGTATATCTCAATAATTTACTGTTTTACACTATATTTTAAGTGGCTTTAACTCTAAATACATACTCTATAGCCACTGTAATAATTTAAACATGGAAGCCTATCAATTAAAATTGCTAAAATAATGAAAATATTCAAAAGAAGCATTAGCCAATTCTTGTAAGGAATTTGCAGAAATGTCAAAAGTTTAAACAATGTTTGTAATTTTACCAAGAACAAAGAGGTATATTATGTCCAAGTATAATACTTAATATATTTACATGTTTCTGGAAAAAATGGAATGAAAATAGATATTTGTAGGTTGAATTATAATTTGAATGCATGACGAAAATTACACCTAATGGCAATTTTGAAGAAATCATTTATAAAGAAAATAATCTCTTCATAAAATAGGTGTATTTTTATAAATCAGACTTGTTTAAAACAAGGTATATCTTAAATGCTTTATAAATGTTTGCAGAATGATATTCAATATCATAATCCCTGTAGTCCGATGAAATCATTCTGTCATATGTTCATGCCAAGATTATTGAATAGCATGAAACAGTTTTGAAGATACATGCACATTTAGTCATTGTGATGTGTAAAATCTGGCAGGTACACATTTAAATGAGTCTGACTAGGTAGTTGGTTTCAATGCCTGACCACCATTACCCTAAAAGCAAAACCTCATCAGCTTGCTATTTGGTGTCCACAGTTTTCTCTGATTAGTTGTTTCATATACAAAAGGATTATTAAATATGGGCAGTTCTCCAGCCGGACATTCTTACCCAATGACTAGAGAGTTTTATTGCACATACATGTTTCATGAGCAGTAATATCACATTTTGAATGGTTTAGAATGTTTTTTCAGCTCATCTAGATACAAATCATAAAATAATCAAGTCCAAAATGTGCAGCAGTATTACTGAATGCATGTTACAATCATATATGATTACACATAGAAAAGTTTAAGCATTTTCTTTTAAAATTTTTTCCAGGATTTTCTTTGAACACTCATGTCATCTAAAGGTCCCCAATGCAGAATTTTCTCCTCAGAATCATTCTTTTGCCTGACCATTTCTCTATGTTAGCTTCTAATTATTCACTGGACACTTTTATTTATGAATATGTTCATTAAAATCCTCACCTGCCATACAGTATAGAATTTCATTTGCTCTAAAGTCATGTTTTGATGGGATATCATGTTAATTTATGTTATACTAGCATCCAGCTAAATAAGACAAGATTAGTCCATTTCATAATGATAATATTTCTTTATTGCTATTGATACAACGGTTTCTCCTAAAATAAAAATCCTACATTTATTAACTAATTTATTAAATTTATTCACTGATTCCTTCTCTGAATACCAACTTGGCTCTATTCGTTAGGACTCCTAGGCACAGTAGTAACATATTACAAACTATTCATTAAAATACCAAATATTTATTGCCTACTATGTACCAGGCATTGGTTTCCTAGGACTACTAAAATACGGATCATGCTATTGTGAAGGCACTTAGAGACTGGTGGAAGAAGAGAGGAAGGGAGAGACGTGAAGAAGGAAGGAAACGGTAACTATGTAAAGTGATGAATATGTTAATTAGCCTAATTGTGGTGATCATTTCACAACTTACATATATATCAAAACATCAAGTTGTACACCTTAAATATATACAATTTTTACTTGAGAATTATACCTCGATAAAGCTGAAAAATAGCATATATATATTTATACTTGCTTGTATATGCACAGAGAAACACTGGAAAGACATAAGAAAGTAAGAGAAAAGGTTGTTTATTGGGGTCAAGGGAGGCTGGTGAACTGGGTAGACACAGGAGTGCAAACATCTTCTCAATATAAAAATTTCTATTTTTTTTTTACTTTTGGATGTCATAAATGTCCAAAATTTATGACATTTAATTTAAAATTTTAAAAAGTGTATTCAATACAACAGTGTACAATAATCTATAATTACTGGAGGAAAGATGCAAATTAGCTTTGAACTTCCTAGAGGTCATATCAAATGGAGAATTATGTTGTTTCAAAATTCAGATTTTCCCCATATTAAGACCTGAAAGGAATTTCTCTACTGTATTCTCATTAATTGGATATTCTGTGATGTAGTGAATGAGAATCAACATCTTCTTAATATGTACTTGTAAGTTTCAAATCATTCTCTTGCTTAAACTCTCAATACCCTCCAATTTGATTGGAACAAATCCAAATCTCTCATCACAGTCTGTGACACCCTACATGACCTGGCCCTCACCTGTTCTCCCCTTTGATCACAAAGCTCCAACAGCAGTGGTCTTCCTTCTGTCCCTTGACCATAGCAAGCTCCTACCTGTCTCAGTGCCTTTGTACTTACTGGTCCTTTTCACCTTCGAAGTCATTCTCCCAGGTAGTATTAGCATGGCTGCCTCCTTATCATTCAGTTCTCAACTGTAACATCATCCTGTTAGACAAACCTTTCCTTCCTACTCTCAATAAGAGCACATCACCTTGTCCCCAGCCACTCTTGAGCCCATCCTGCTGTTTTTATTCTTTATAGCACTTTTTACAGTCTTCTATTTCATTATTTCTATTTTCTGTCTGTCTTCTCCCACAAGAAAACAACTCCTAAAAGTTGTTGACTACCATCTTGTATCATCAGCTTTCTACAACAGGGCCTGAGACGTAGTGGGTGGTGAATAAACAGTTGAATGAATGAGTGAATGACAATGAATTAGTGATTGTGAAAGAGAATGAAAGAAGCAAGAAAAGGAAAGATGCAGAGAGATAAGAGAAAGAAAGGAAGGAATCTCTTAATATTCAACAATTTTTAGCTAGGCACAGTGGCTCATTCCTGTAATTCCAGCACTTTGGGAGGCTGAGCTTGGAGGATCAATTGAGCCTCAATTGAGGAGTTTGAGGCTAGCCTGGGCAACAAAGCAATACCCCATCTGTACAAAAATAAAATAAAATAATTAACCAGATGTTGTGGCACTTGCCTGTAGTCCTAGCTACTCAGGTGGCTGAGGCAGGAGGATCACTTAAGCCTAGGAGTTCTAGGCTGCAGTGAGCCATGATTGCACCACTGTACTTCAGCCTGGGTGACAGAGCAAGACCCTGTCTCAAAAAAAAAAAAAATGTCAAACAGCTGTGACTAATATTAAATAAGATCTGTCAGCTAATTCTGATATTACCTTGCATGAGGTTTTTAGACTTCAATGGCTTATACACAATTTTAACCAATATTTACTTAGAGTACAAAGTTTTAACGCTGCTGTACATATGTCACTCATCTCATAAGCTATGTATCTCAAGAAAATTATTATTGGAAAAGTCCTAAAAGTTTAACTAATACCTGTAGTTAAATTAGATTTATCATAAATTTATGTTTGTCAAACCATCTTCCCCCCAAAGAAAGAATTCATGAAGCAAGACTAAGGATTCTGAAAAAGATTTTACCACCTACCACCATACTTTTCCCTTTGTAATACTTGGTCAAAGTTAACTAACAATTATTACAGTATAGCTAGAGCTTCAGGTAGACTGGATTTGGGCAACCACATTTGGATATCAAGAGAAGGAACCTGAACAAGGATCTGCTGGATCACTGGATTTCTGCAGTTGCACTACAGAAGCAATCTAACATCAAAACTTACCTTCTTCCAGCCCTTCACGGTGGATGAAGAGAAGAAACCTACAAATGGTTTCTATTAATTGGCCCAGAATTTCACATCCTTTATTTCTTTGTGTGCTGGCTAGATTTTATAACCATTGCCATGTGGGTTCAGGACAAACTGACTTGCTTAAAATCACACATTAAAAATGTTTCAACTCCACAGTGTCTCCGACAGCCCAGTTTTTGTTTCAGAATGATTCCACAATCTATACAATGTGTAAAATTACTCATACAAAGATTACTCCCTATTATTTGCATATGTTAAGGTTCATGTGTGTTATTTATTGCAGCATAGGTCTGAAATAAATTATGGTTTAAAAATATGTTCCTGATAATACCCTTTTCATATCACAGCATGAGGGCAACTGGTGTGAAAGGCTTCCCACTTGTGATCAAACCATGCTTCCCTTTATTTTCAAGGTCAGCTATAACAAGAGTTATGTCTATAACTGAGTTAGAAATGGTTTATTGTAGTACCTTAACTGGCTATCCTCAGTCACAGATGATTTTTACTTTTCAGTTAATAAATCCAGGGTTGAATTTAATATCCATTGGCCCTCCTGAGACACATATGCACAATCCTAAGAGGACATCTGTCTCAGAGAGCAAACATCTCTGCCATCCTCAAAACTAAAGTCGCATTATGGTCACGTGCAGAGCATTTGTTTTGTGTCTTTTCCATTCTCTAAACTTTAGAGAATGCTTTAGAGTGTGAGATTGAACTTTTCCCTGGAAGAGTAATTGTTCATGCAAATCTGTGCCCAATCTTCACAAAAAGTGTGGAAAAAATATGCAAGCAGAAGCAGAGAACAGCAATGCTCACAGTCCAGATTTTAAAGGTGATGCATAGTTAGGTCGGTGATTTGAACACTGCTGGAGCTTTCAGACTGAAAAATCATCTTCTTATTTCAATAGTAATGGCATTAAGGATTCTACTACACTACTACAAATATTGTACGCCTCATGTCCTGTTAGTCTCTAACAAAAACAACTTGCTATTAAAGTACAGCTCTGGGCAAAAAAAGGTGGTTTGGATTGCAAGAAGTTATTAATTAACATGACAGCAAAGCTTCAGGACATGAAACCACAAAGCAGCTCTCTGGCTGGTTGTCAACAGTGTCACACATATGTAAATAATCCACAGTTTTAAAAGGCTGTTTTCTCTTCTATACTTTATCCCCTTGACAATGATTGTAATTTTCTGTACTGAGATCTCTTCCAAGTCTAACATTTGTGACTACAGAACAGTATGAAAGTAATCTTGGTTCCAATTGTTTCTTTTTAAATCTCATAATAATAAAAGCATCCTAGAAATGAGCTCTGTCATATTCTTAAAGACAACTGAGACAATTGTCAGTATATCTATCCACTGTAATCTCAGCTAGCAGGTAACAATTAAATTAAATTAAATCAAATGTTGTGGGATATTTTAAGCCATTTTTAAAGAACACTACCTTTTTGTCAACATATTAGAAAGTCCTCATTTTTCCCCTAAACTTTTGGCATACACAACATTTCCAGGAAACTGTTCATTAAGACTAACTGCAAGAGAAAGACTCATTCTCTCACCAAAACGTCTACAATTAAGTTCATTTTATAATAGTAATTTTTTAATGAACTGCTAACACTGACGGAAGCATAAAGACTTTGTAAAACTGCCTTGGATATGAAAACCCATATTAAATATGTAGGTTTCAGAGATGACCCCACCCTGCCCACAATACACAAACACACACACAAACACCCACACATACACATTCACATACACACACATTCACATACACACACATATCACATCACACAGAGAATAAAATCTCTCAATTGACTTCATTAGAATAACATTTCAGTTAGAAACCAAATTTGAAAATCATTCAACAGAAATGTATATTTTAAGTACCAGCCAACTCATTTTCATTATTAAGTAAAATTAATCCATGTGAAGTAAGGGGAAGCAACACAGTGCCTCACCAAGATGGGAGTGTCCAGGGCCTAGTTCAGCTGCTGCTCAGCTGTGTGACCCTGGATAAGCTACAGCACCTCCCTGAGCCTACAGAAATGGGGAAAGCCAATCGGGTGGGCTCTATCATCTCTTCAGCTGCTGCTCCAGAAATCCTCAGGCTAGGGTTACTTCAAAGCATCCCTTCTGCATAGCTGGTTCTACTGACCACTCCAACTCTATGTGAAAAACCTTGGCCACCACCACAACTCTGGGCTCAGTGCATCCAGACATTCTGATTCCCAGAGTTGGGGAGCACTTCATCATGGGACACAGTGATCATTCCGTTAAACTAAGCAGAGGCCGCTATCTGGTTGGTCATTCGGTCTTCTTGTGCCGAGTGACCAGCTGCAAGGAAAGAAGTTACTATGCTATCAAGAATAATGGACTCTGATCATTAAGAGGAAGGGAGAGCTAATATTATACAATGCAGACAGGGGAGAATTCATTTGACACCCAGGTGACATATGGAAATGTTTTTTGGTGCGCCTTGCCCAATTTTGATAGCAAATGGACAAATGTAGTGGATACAGCCCTAGAAGGGTTATGGTATTCAGGTGTTTGACCCTTCCGGGATGAAGATCTGAGTCACACCACCTTGACAGAGAGGGGTGCTAGCCAAGCGTGAGGGGATTCTAGAATGGGCAGGAGAAGCGGAAGATGATGAGTATCAGCTGTAGTCCCAAAACCATCTGCAGCAGAGAGATACGGCCCCTCCCACTGATCTTCTTGTAAGTTTCCCCAGAAAAAGAAACCAACCAGAGTCCAGAATCCTGGAGGAGCAGTTCCCGGATGGAATAAACAAACATTTAGGAAGTAAGTGGACCCAGGAAGCCCAAGAGGGGCTATATTCATTTCCTTAGGCTGCCATAATAAAGTACCACAAACTAACTGGCTTGAGACAACAGAAATTCATTATCTCACAGTTCTTGAGGACAGAAATCTTAAATCTGAGCCGATATTAAAGGTAAGTAGGTATCAGCAGGGCCATGCTCCCTCCAAGGGCTCTAAGGAACAATCCTGCCTTGCCCTTTTCAGCTTTTGGTGACTCCTGGCATTTCTTGCTTTATGGCAGTGTAACTCCAGTCTCTGCCTCCATCTTTACAGGGCCTTCTCCCCTGTCTCGAACTTCCCTTTCCCTTGTCTCATGACACCAATAACTGGAATTAGGGTCCACTCTAAATCCAGTGTGATCTCATCTTCAGAGCGTTAACTTACATCAACAAAGTTCCTATTTCTAAATAAGGTCACAGTCACAGGTGGGCTGCAGTGGATGGCCCAGTGCCCTGCCCAGAATCCCCTTTCAAGCCCAGGCACTCGTTCCTCCATCAGGCAGTGTGGTGTCCCCCAGAAAAATGCCCTCAGCTAAAGGGAGCTTCCTCACGCAAGGCTATGCCCCTTCCTCAGGGGCAGCCCCCTGACTCAACTGAGCACAGATCTGAAGGGCACCTCCATCCCAGAGCTCCCTACAGGAGAGACTGAGGTCTTGCTGTGTTTGCATCATGGTTCACCTTCCTCTACGCCCGACCCTGCTGCCCTCACTGCTGTCCAGGTGTTGTTCCCAAGAGCACACACCAATAAACTACGTCTGTCTTCAGCAGTTGTTTCCGGGGAACCTGACCCTCAGGCTCCCCGATCCCGGGCCAAGCCTCTTGGCCACTTACTAGTGGAGAATTTTGGACAGGATACTTAACCATGCTACTCCCAATTTTTCTTATCCATGAAATAAGGATAAGAGCAATACCTTCCATGCAGGGTGTTGTGAAAATGAAACAAGTTAATTAATCCAGATCTCTTAGAATACTGCCTGGCAACATAGGAAGTGCTCCATAAATGTTGATTACAAGCTACTATTATAAGCATGTTTTCTTCTGTAGGAAAAACATTCATTAAGGAATGAATTCGTTTTTATATTATTATTGTATTTTTTAGCTTTTCCTAAGTTATGAACCAGTAGGACAATGAATCTAAAATCAAGTTATAATTTATATTATTTCTGATAATCTAATTATAATAAAATTAAAGTATTACTACTATTTAAAATCACTATTACCTTATCCTAATTGCCACATTAATTAATTTTCAGCAAGGGAATGTAATAAGTGGTTTTTGAATTTTTTATACATATCAAAGAAACAAATGTACTGAACTCCTTCTGTAAACTTATATATTTACTCTAAATTTAATATATCAAACCCAACAAAATCAGAAAGGGGCAAAACTGTAATTTAAACTGAAGGTTTAATATTTCAGAGTGGCTCTGGATCTTAAAATTTATTAGCCAATTAAAGTATCAAAAAAGTACCCTATAGAGTTCTTCCCATCAAGGCTATAAATTAACCCTTGGAGAACAATATAAAGTTTCAAGGGTAGAGTCATTTAATTCATAAGCTTAAAGGACTGAAATCTTAAAGGAATAAATTAGCCAGACTTTTTTTTTGCATTTAGTACAGCCGTATCTTAAATTAGTTTTTCTCAGGATTAGGATGTATTATTTATGACCACGTCCAGTCCCATTATTTGTTAAGACAAAAGCAAGTAAGTCCTAGTTAGTCAAAGTAAATCAAGAAAATTAACCCAGCAGGCAGAGGACTCACATGCTATTTACCTTTATGTAGTAAATATTTCCCACATTGCTTCACCCAGAAATCTCACCCAGTCTATTAAGAGGCAGTCCTAACAACAATGTCTGGTTGACTTTCCATGCCTCCACTTATAAGAAATAGCTGAAACTTTTTAAGTGCTTACATGTGCTAGTGCTTTAAATACATTATCTTCAATTCTCAAAATAACCCTTCAAAGTACATATTATTATCCCATTTTCTAGATTAATAAAATGAGGTTCAATACACACAGCTTATGAAACACAGAGCCAGATAGATTCAAGCCTATCTGTTCTTTCCTCTTGCTGTGTCTCACTGAGCACATAACTATTAATAAATCAACTCATATTCTGCTTAAAAGGATTGGGAAAGTGCCTCACAATATTGGCATTTCTCCAAAAACAAGAGGAAATATATCTACTATAATTGTCTTTTTACGTTTTCAATTGTTTTATTTTTCAAACTAGAGAACAGAATAAACTAAAAAGTTAAAATATTGTGTTCTCAAATCTGCTACCCAAATTTTTTTCATAACAATGAGAAATATATATGCTTTTTAAAAAGTGATTTCTTACAAGTGGAGACATGGAAACTCAAGGTTAAAAGACCAAACAGCAGATTATTAACTTGAGACATTTAAGAAACAAAATCACTCTGGTAATATTTCTGCTAATATGCAAAATTCATAGCTTCATATTCTGACAGTAAAGAGAGGCACAGACAAAGATCATGTTTTTTACATGAAATGGAAAGATCTGTCTGATACGAAATTACAACACAAAAAGGGTATTAATTGTCTTACTGTTGTGTAATGTTTATGGCAGGCATTTCAATGACAGCACTGCTTTTCAGAAAGCTGTAAGAACATGAAAGATTATAGATAGACTTCACTGTTACCCTGCAGAATGTGCCCAGTTCTTCAAGTAATCAACACTCTTTTATGTGGCTACCATGCAGGGCATTTCATTTTATCATTGAACAAATTTTACTTTTATTATGTGCCAAGTATTTTACTAAGCACTCAGCAGTAGGCAAGATGGGTAAGGTCTCTGCCATCATCTCATGATGCTTATAATGAGCAGGGAAGCAGATACTAAGTGGTTACCTGTGAGGAATGCTGCAGAACATAAGACGCATTACGTGGTATCAGGAAATGTCAGGTTCTATCTGATATATGATAAGAGATATTATCTTTACTATTGCATAATGCATATTATCTTTAGGTGTTTATAAGATGGGAACTTAACTAACAGTGGGCAAGTGGGGAGCTTAGGTGGTCAAGGAAGGCTTCCTAAGGACATGATATTTTTAAGAAACAAGTAAAAGTTAGCTGGGGAAGGGGAGACTCATGACAGAGAGGACAAGGACAGCATATTCAATGCAAAGGGAAGAACTAGAGTGTCTTACTCAGCTCAGGCTGCCATAACAAAATACTGTAGGCTGGGTGGCTTAAACACTTAAACAACAGAAGTTTATTTCTCATGGTTCTGGAGGCTGAAAGTCCAAACTCAAAGTGCCAGCACGGTTGGGTTCTGGTGAGGGCCCTCCTCCTGGTTTGTGGACAGGTGACCTCTTGATGTAGCCTCACGTGGCGGAAAGAGATTCAACTCCTCTCTCTTTCTCTTATAAGGACACTAATTCCATCATGCAGATGCAACCCTCATAACTTCATCTAAACTAATTATCTCACAAAGGCCCCACCTCCCAAAAGGATCACATTGAGGATTAGGACTTCAATGTATGAATTTTGGAGACATACTAACATTCAGACCATAACATAGCACAAAGGCCTGAGCTGAGAAAAAGCACGGTGCCTTTTTGAAATACAGAGGACTGGGGAAGAGTCCCTTGAAACAAGGATAGAGAGGCAGGCAGAATGGATTAGATGTGAACTTGATCTTACAAGCAGTGCAAAGCCACGGAAGGTGCTCAGCATGAGTAACATAATCAGATTTGTGTTATAGATTATTTGGAAAGAAAGCAATTATCAAAGGAAATGTCAGTTTCTATCTGATACATGATAAGAGAACGTTGTACTCAGTGAGAGATAATTGTGAGATATTTGGGTCCCAGAGCATTGACTCTCAAAAAGAGAAATAGCAAAATAAATTTCCACTTAAGATGAAAGTGTCTTTGGCATTCAAAACTTAGTCTTTATGATTGTTAACAATCCTAGGTGGTTCTTATCATGTGGTCAGAGCTTGCTAAGGACTGACGTTCCTCAAATGGGTCACAGTGAATGACTTTTCCTATATGTCCTAGTCAATCCCAAATAGGGTGGGAAATATTATCAGCTAATTCATGGAGTTGATTTCTATTCCTACTTTTCCATGAAGGATTATCACAATTATTCAATTAAAATTCCATAATCATAAATACATGCAATAATTTGTTTACACTAGGTGAAGCTTAAAAATACTTAAATAATTTTAAACTGTTAGCATTTACTACTAGTAACACTAGTTAATCCAAAACACATTGACCTAGTAAACCTTTGCAGCTGTGCACAATAGCTATCACTCAAGAACAATGTAATATATTATACAACTAGAGTAAAATTCTACAGGCTTTATTTTCAAAGGACTCTTACTATTAAGTCTTAAT
This sequence comes from Homo sapiens, assembly GCF_000001405.40. NCBI lineage: Eukaryota > Metazoa > Chordata > Mammalia > Primates > Hominidae > Homo > Homo sapiens. Next base: position 405,872 of record NW_017363814.1, read on the forward strand.
GATCTGAATCTCATTGAAAGTAATAGAAATTGAAATGCAAGAATACAGCGGGAGTTCTGCTTCTGGTATGACTGAGTATACGCCTACTGAAACCTACCCTCCTGCATGTAACAACTGTAAACTTTAAATAAAACAGAAACAAAAATACTTGAACCTTCTAGGGGTGAGTAAAAGCATTCAACTTTTTACAAGGGGTCCAAAATGGAAGAATGGACCTATATGGAGTGAGTTTCCCATTTTTTGAGGATTATTTATTTAGGCTGTGAACCTGAGGTTGGGTAGCAGTCAAGGCACCATGCAGGGTGGTTAGAGTCACTAGAAACACACAGTCTTTCTGGACACAAGAACCTTAGCATAGGGTTCCAGGAAACCATAGCCATTAGAGAGAAAGAGGGAACTCTTAGAGAGGGGAAATCCGGGCAAGCTCGAAATTCTGTACATAAACTATGCCCAAATTTCTGACTGACCTCTGAGCTCCACATGCATGGGATATGGACTGAAAACAGCCCAGTTAAGAAAAAACAGAACTGAAATGGGGCTTTCACAGGTGCCTGAGAGTCAGAATTTGCAGTTTGAGTCCAATCAAGTTGATTACCTGCTAAAACAAAAACATCAACATTATTCAGAAGAATGTAACACTCAGAAGAATCTACGGTCTCCACAACAAAACATACACAATGTCCGGAATACAAGGAAAAAGTATTCAATATCTGAAAAACTAGAGAAATATGATACATTTACAAGACAAAAAACAATTAAAGAAGCCAAACACAGATGACTATATTTCACAGATAAAACTTTAAAGCAGCTATTATAGTTATATGAGGTAAAGGAAGACACTCTTGTAATGAATGAAAAGATAGATAATATCAGCAAAGAAACAGAAACTATGAGACAGAATAAAATGAAAATTGTATAAGTGAAAAATATAATAAATTAAAAATGTGTTAGAAGGGCTTAACAGCAGGATGGTGATGAAGAACATGACAGTGAATTTGAAAATAATACAAGCCATCTGATCTGAAGAATAGAAAAGAAAATTATTGAAAAGAAAAATGAACAGAGTCTCAAGGCCTCAGATCTAAAGGTCTAACATATGTATATTTGGAATCTCTGAAAGACAGAAAAGAAAGAATAGAGCAGAAAAAAATATTTTAAAATAAAGAAAAAGCACTCTCTAGAAAGATTCCTGTTGGCACATAGAATAAGCTTTCTCATTTTAAAAAAAAGTTTTCTTCACAAGTAACAGACAAATGTGGTAACTGTACTTCAGAGGTTAAAACACATTTAGAGAAATAATGATAAAGTAGCCTTAAGATATTATGAATTTAGATTAGAGCACAGTTGTACTCCTCTGTATAAATGGCAAATCTGAATACTATTGTGTTCCAAAAAAATTATCTTTCTTTTAAAATCTACTAAGAATCAAGACTCAAGGTAAACTTATTAAATTCATGTTGTGGTATTAAGAGTATGCTGTGATATATGTAGAAACTATATGTTTAATGCCAGCAAGCAAATTACCTCTAATACCGTCAAACATTAATTTATAAATTGGCCTCCCTGTCACCTCTCTTCTTTATGCTGGACGCTGATAGAGGCAGTGGAAGTGAAACAGACATAAGCATGACAATTAGATTCTACACAAGAAAAATGCCATATAAAAATTCTTGTAAGATGAGTCCAGGAAATATATCTGACAGCTCTGAAATATTGTGTTCTTGTTTATACACAATGTAACAGAACAGCCTTTGTATTATTTTTAACCGTTCCTACTTAAAATAATCTATACTTCAAAGGAGAGTAAACAGTGCATAAGCTTAGGTTGCTCTTTACCTCATAACTTGGTTCTTGTATAATAGATATTCTTAGGACCAGACAAGTCAATCTCTAAATAAACATTAACTTCCTCTGTGTTTCCAAATGTAGAAATAAAGATGAACATACAACATGAGGAGTTTCTAACAAAACAATTGTTAAAAATCAAATCGTGTTTAAGGCCATATACGGTAAGGCTAAAAATAATATTTAATCGCTTGAAATCATACCCATAACAATTGCTAATTCTGCACAGTTAATTGAAATGAAGAACAAAGGAAATTTCAGAATAATCTGAACAAAAAAGCTTTGAAAAGTTGGAGGACGGTTTGTCATATTGAACAGAATTTTTAGATTAACTGTCATCAGTAATGAAGCCACTCAAAAATTGCCAAGTTCTGTTTGGTTCTTTCTTCTTAGCTATTCTCATGAAAGTGAAGCTCTACTACAGGTCTTCCCTGCCTTTTGCCATAATACATTTTTCAAAAGCATGAAGGAGATGGCATTTTCTAATCTGAGAATTTAGTATGAAATACATCAACAGTGTCATCAAAGCAAGTATGCAATAATTACAAATTACTGTAGTCATTTAAAATAGAAAATAAAGATTTTAATTTATATAAAGCATGCATAAACAATTTACTTGATTTCATGAAGGGCTGTCAATATATCTAGTACACACATAATACAAATCAATTCAACTGAAAAAGTTTTACATTAATATTCTTGTTAAAATTTATTTTCTTGAAATAGAGATAGGGTTTTGTTATGTTGCCCAGGCTGGCCTCAAACTCCTGGCCTCAAGCACTCACCAACAGAGGCCTCCCAAAGTGCTGAGATTACAGACATGAGCCACTGCCTGGCCTAATATTCTAATTATAATAATATGTTAACAATTATTTTAATAATGTTTCCTTTAATATGCAAAAGAACTTTTAAGGAAAGATTTGTGTTGTTCAGCTTTCTTAAAAGTGGTATACAAATAGTTTTTAACTGATGTCCCTTTTTGTTGGTAAATTTTGTACAAACAGCTCCTGTTTAGCTGTCCAAGGCAGGAAGCTGACTGAATTTGGGATGGAAGCCCTGGGTATTAATTAGGACAATGGTTTTCCTAGAGTATCTATTGAGATCATATCTCTAGCCATTTAACATGACTAGCCATAGGAATTTTTAAAAGAAAGAACTGACTTTTATTTTATTATTTAATTTTATTTTATTGGAGACAGGGTCTTGCTCTGTCACCCAGGCTGGGGTGCAGTGGCGCAATCATGGTTCACTGCAGCCTCGACCTCCCAGGCTCAACTAATCCTCCCATCTCAGCATCCCAAGTAGCTGGGACTACAGGTGCACATCACCACACCTGGCTAATTTTTGTATTTTTTGTAGAGGTTTTGCTCTGTTGCCCAGGCTGGTCTCAAACTCCTGGGCTCAAGCTGTCCATCCACCTCAGCCTCCCAAAGTGCTGGGATTACAGACAAGAGCCACCATGCCCAGCCTGACGTTTCTTTTTCTCACTCTCTCTTAGCTCCATAGTTTAATCACACTCAAGTGAAATTACATATAATGGTAAACTTTCCTGGGAGTTTACCATGTGCTAGGCAGTGCTCTGTGTCCTGGATATGCATCATCTCATTTAATCGCCACAATAACCCTACCAGGTGAATCCCATTATCATCCCTATTTTATGGATGACAAAATTGAGGCTTACAAAGGTTTAGGAATTTACTTGAGGTTAAGCTATTAAGTAACAGAGCTGAAATTTAAACTTGGGTATGTTTCACTCTGCATTGCAAGCTTTTATCCACGGGATTACTCTTCTTCTGTCCAAATGAAGGACACCTGGAAATAATGAGAACGAGCAAACCTCTTCCATCCTCTCTACCAAGGAGTTTTCACACACTTCATCAGTGGACTCTGAGATCTGCATGTTTATGGGAAAGTGATAAAGCCTGAAATGAAGGTAACAGCCTGGGCTGTTTAAAAGGAAATTCAAAACAGAATTATTGAGAAAGGAAGACACGGTGTCTTACTGTACAGATATGGTAGGGTTAGCATGCCCAAAAACCATCCAGTAAAAAGTGAGTGTAGCAAGATGATTTAAACAATAATCAAGACTAAGACACTTTTGCCTGTTCAATAGAATATACTATTTTGATTGATTCAACCATTTCTTCTCATATGAAACATATTAGTTAATGGCTTCCATCAATTACAGTGTATAACATTAAGAAATGAGCAAAAATAAATTCCATATGTCATTTCTTACACTTTAGCAGCTACATTTTTTTCACAACTTCTTGACACTAACAGATGAGAAAGAAGGCCACTTTTGCTCAAGAACCAAAACAGAGTACTGAGTCCATCGTCAAGAGATATCAGACATTGAAAAAGATAGCAGCACAGGTTTCCAGAACTCTTCTTTGAGTAGGAAAGACTTGGGGAAAAAAATGGGCCAATAGGTAGCAGACATCAACTCCTACAGGACATTGAGGAAAGAAGTGAGCGAAAAAGACCCTCACATACTTAGTTTTTAAATATTACAAACTATGAAAGAGTCGTATTATGTGCTAAGAGAATAAGTAAGTATAGAGGTAGAGGTAAAAGATAAAGGAGAAATGGAGTGATTGAGAATCCATGTCAGAGAAGATGGAATAGGGGATTGTTGGATGGATGGATAGATGGATGGGAGAATATGAATGGGTGAGTTTGATGTGGACAAAGAAAAATCATCTAGTCCCTAGGGATTGGATAGTGCATTTACAGAAAGCCTCATGGTGGCAGGCAAAAACACAAGCAAGTTTTCAGCTACTAGCCTCTACTGAGTAGGAAGCATAGTTACCTGTAAAGAGTAAAGGCAGCAGGCTATGGTGCTTAAAGCGAATGAGGTTGTGGAAGAGATGCTTAGATGAATACAACAAAATTACTCAACAGAATTGAGGGCCTGGCTGATATTAAAATACCATACTTAAATTCTACTCTAAGTAGACTCTATTATCACTTGGAATTACTCCAGCAGTCCCCTGTAGTCTGAGTGTTTCAGAGAGTGTGTGGGGCAGGGGGAGATATAGTTGGAGAGATCTACTGTTGGTAATATGTATACATGTATGGAAGAGGAAGGGTTAGTTTGGTGCATAGAAGAATTACAACCGAACAGAGAAGGAACTAAAGCAAGGAGGGGGGTGATATACAAGAAGAGAAAAGAAAGAGCAAGTCATCTAGAAAAAAATCTAGATTAAAAAATAAATGCAAACCAAATCAAAGGCTGAGAAAGCGGAAAGGCTGGCAAGCTGTGATCAGAGAGTGAGATGAGACATAAGAGGTAGAGTTGTTCTAAGTGATTCCAGATTACAGGGGATGGCTGTAGGATAGGGTTCCTGGAGAGGAAGTAACAATAAGGACATCAAAACTGGGTCAACTGAAGAAACATGAGACCAAATTGCCTGGATGACAAGAGTTACAATGGGGACAACAATGACTAAAACAGGCTTTCATTGTCTTCACTGCACATGGGGACTGACCAGATGGTCCATAGGAAACAGGAAGAAGAGGAGAGAGAAACAGGCAGATTCAAATAACGAGTGCCTTAATGCCTGGGACTGTGGCATGGGAGGCTGAATATCTCAGAAGCTATGCTGAGGAGCTCAGAAAATGGAGTAAGATGCCAACCATCTCTCTGGGTTGTGGTCCTTGAGGCTCAGGAATACAAGCACATAGCATTATCATCACAGAGACCTGCCCCCCAACATCATATGAGTCGCAAGACCCTCGTCTCAGCCAGCGTCCTTAGCCATTGACTCTTCTCCCATTATCCTGACACTTTCACAGCTTTAAGTATCACCTCCACATGAGTAACTTCCAAGTTTATGTCTCCAACCTTACATTCTCTCCTGTTAGTAGTTCTGAAGCTCTAAATAGCCTTCAAGATGTATTTTCCTATACTACTGGCCGTTAATTCACACTGAAATCAAAAACTCGAGAGAGCCAGCATCTTTCCCCCAAAACTCTCACCTCCAGCTTTTCCTATTCTTCCCACTAATCCAGATGGAAAACATGGTGTTATTTTTTACTCCTTCCACCAGTTTCTCACTCACATCTATACAAGTTGTACCAATTATTCCTTTGTGATACCTCTAAGGCCATCCTTCCTCTTACGCTTCACTACCATTCCCCTAATTCAGGCCCATGTAGCTGAATATGTGTTATTACAAGAGACTCAGAACTCTCCTACCTGGTTTCCCTCCTTACTTCTTTCTATTCTTTCTACTAATTTAAGATGACTCTTCCTAAAACGTTACTTTTCACATGTCAATCTCTATTCACAAACCTCCCATTATCTCCCATGTATTTCCATAATAATAAAGGCCAAGCTCTGCGCAAACACTGATATCTCCCATGTCTCCAAAACAGCCTCCCATTACTTCACTACAGGAACCAGACACACCGTGATTATTCCAATTCCTCCTATCCCCATGGATTACATAGATTTTCAATTAATTCATACTTCCGATTATATTTACCTGATCTACTTTCACTACAAAACACATATTTTGATTAAATGAAGATTTTAATTCAGTAAGATTAAAATAACCTGGCATTTGTAAAAATGATTTCGCATAATTTCCCTAATGGGCTATGAAAATATAAATTACTTCCACAGTTGCTCACTTTTCATTTATAATTTAAAAGGTGAGGGGACCATTAATAGACATCTGGAGTTTAGTTGTTACTAAAATCGATTTATTGTAAGATTTCAATCCTCAGAGAAGGGAAATCTTACTGATCACAACTTTCTGAAGTCCATCCTAAGTGGTTCTCTTTTGGAGATGATCATACCTAGAAATGCATTACACATTCCTACATACACACAAAATGTGCAGCTACAGTGGAATGCATCCATGACAGGTTGTAAATAAAAATGTACATAACAGAGAATCCCCGATCTACTGGATAGATCTACTTTCCCACCTATAAAGCTCTACAAACCACTTTCTACCTCAACATACCAGTTATCTCCAATCCTTACATCCATGTGGTGTTATGAGCTTTTTTTTTTAAATGAACTTCTGGGAATATACAGGAAGAGATTATAGAAAGGCAAGGAGTGAGGGGAAGACAGAGCCTTTGGGAATGCCTCTACCACACTGAGTGTGGGGTGGCACAAGAGAAAAAAGGAAAAAGAGGAATTGGCAAGCGAGAGGCAGAATGTAAGGAGACAATGGGCAGTGAAAAAGATGCATGCAAGAAAGAGGAAGTGGTCAGCAGTCCAAAATGCTTCAGAGAGCATGAGAGAGGTTATGACTAAGAAAAGCCCATTGGATTTGAAAGAAACAGATACACGCCTCTTGAGAGGCAGAATTTAGTACAGTGATGGGAGAAGGTCAGAACACATGGAGAAGGGGTGATCAGCAAGTGGGAGTCAGGCACATGTCATTCATTCACAAGGACTGACGGAGAAGGGAAGGAGATGGAGAACACACACAATAAGCTCTGCTAGCAAGCACCTTGCCCGTTTTGCTTGTTGCTGTCCCCAGCACCAAGAACAGTTCCTGGCATGTAATAGATATTCAATAAGTATTTGTTGGTTAGATGTTGTTGAATTCAATCAATGTTATTGAATTAATGAATGTTGTTGTTTGGATAAATAAATGAATTGATGAATGAACATAGTACTTGTATTTGAGGGAGTATGAAAGAATACTCTTCATGTTACCACATGTAATTCAGGTCTCAATGCTGGAGTTATACTTAGTACAGACTAAGATCTGGTTATAAGATAAAAGCTGCAAATGCAGCTCACAACATCAGACTTAGTGTAGGGTGGAGGATGGAGCTCTTGTCTAGAGGTTGAAGTTAATCTTTTTGACAGTTATCTGAGCGAAAATGGAATCTTTCAGGCCAAACATGAGAACTGGAGGAAAATCTCTGGGTGTCTGCAGAGTGGAATTCCCTCTCTGTCTTGACCAAGAAGGCAGCAAGAGATTGAAAGGAACTCCTGAGGGGTGGATTGTTAAGAAGAGGCTGTCCACCTGAGACAGGCAGGGACTGAGTTATTAAGAAGTCCAGACGAGTGCCTACAATGTTGTAAAAACCTTTTGCAGCTAGAGGTTATCTATCTCAGTTTGCTAATGGTTCTTGTCCTCTGCATTAATTCCCTCAGTTCTGCCTCACTCATAAGTCTTTGGAAAGGTCTCGTCAGGGCATGAGAATATAAGAGTTCAGCCAACACTCGGAGAGGGGAGGGTGGCCAGCACCATAGTGCCAGCAACAGCAGCAACTAGAGTGGTAGGACCCCAAACATTGGGGATGTGGAGTAACCACTAAGACAACTTGAAGTTAAAGGGTTTGTTTTTATCAGATGACATGGTATTATCTTACAGGAAATCTAGGCAAGATTTTGTTTTTCCTGTATTTCCTTTTGTTTTTGTTTGATTTTGACAAAGGCAACTTGAGCAGATATAAGCTGTAAAAGAGGAAAACTTGTAGATGGCAACAGAAAGAAGGTACAGTTACAAGGAATGTATGTAATGTCATTAAGCAAAGCCATGGAACACAGGAGGTGTCATGAGATTCAAAGGCAAGATGGGGGAGTTGGTTTTTGCAAAGTGGTATAAAGAAAGATTGAGAGAGTAGAAAGAAGGAAGACGCTTCTTTGAATCTCATATGGAAATTAGGGGGTAAGTCAGCTGTGGGGCGTATGGAACACAGAAAGTTCACATAGCTGCCTTGGAGAGGCCACCAGAGAGCCCAGTGACTAAGAGGCTTTTGCAAATCTTGAGGGGCTAGATCGCTGGAATTTCCAGAAATTCTAGTCAGCACAATTTAATGCTGTCTGCAGCAATACTTGGCAACCTGGAAAGGTTTGTTGCAATTGTTGGAGGTGCAGTCCTACATGTAAGCCAAGCTGAGCTCACCATAATGGATCTACCACATATGGAGTTGTAACAATGGGATAAACTCACACCTCATAGAAGAATCATCTCACGATGATAGAAACAACTCTAAAGACAGGCTTTCATCAAAAAAATCATAATTAATCCACCCTGCTTATTTTCCTAACAATGGAGCCAAGTTGTACTATTCATACCAAGATCTTCAGGGAGTTCCAGGTGGAAGGAATATTGGAAGTCAACTTGTCCAACCTGTCACCTATTATGACTTTCATTTTTAGAAATCCATGGAAGAAACTATCAGTGGGCACTGGCATACCCGGGCTCCTCTACATTTCTCAGCCTCCTTTGCAGTACATCTGACGCTGCATGGCTGGGCTCTGGCTAATGTGACATTGGCGGAAGTTGTGTAAGTCACTCTCAGGCCTGGCTCTCTCAGACGGAGGAGAAACAGCCAAGTTGCTTCACATCAGACTCTGCTTGAGAGAGAAATATACTTTGACAGTGTTAGTCACTAATATTTGTGGATTTGTCCATTTCATCAGCAAGCATTAATTCATATCAAGCCACTTTTTAATAATCTAGCAACTCAGAGCTGGCAATCACTCTAAAGAAAGGGATGGAGATTATTATCACCCATATACCCAAAAGATTAAAATGGTGGAAGCAGTCATGAAACCCACTTTTACTTTGCAGTAGCACCTCAATTATCTAAAGGTTATTATTTGAGACATAATTTGCAAAGCTAAAGCCTGAACTCCCTAACTGAGAACCAGAAAGTAAGCAGCAAACATCTTAAAACAACCCAGGCTGAGAGCAAAATTAAGCTTTAGAGCTTCATGCCCTGGTAAGCTCTTCAGGCTAGATATATTTACTCAAGTTATTTCAGAGTAAATAAATCAGTCTTGGAACTTTGATTATCTCCCATCAGATAAGAAATAGGAAATTGGCCAGGCAAGGTGGCTTATGCCTGTAATCCCAGCACTTTGGGAGGCTGAGGCGGGAGTATCATTTGAGCCCAGGAGTTCGAGACCAGCCTGGGGAACACAGCTGGACCTCGTCCCTACACATTATTTAAAAATTAGCTAGCCATGTTGGCGCATGCCTGTGCTTGCAGCTACTTGGGAGACTGAGGTGGGAGAATCACTTTACCCTGGGAGGTCCAGGCTTCAGTGAGCCATGATTGTGCCACTGTACTCCATTTTGGGCCACAAAGCAAGACCTTGTCTCAAAAAAATAAAAAAGAAACAAATAGGAAATCGGAAGCAAAAAAAAAAGGAATGGCCTGGAAGGGGGCAAAACATGCCATTCTGATAGTGAAGGAGAGATCAGGAAAACTACAAGAGGCAAAACACCCAAATCAAAAAGCAGTGTACAGTGCCCCATTTTATAAAGGATAATTGAGTCCCACTGCCCCTCAGAGTCCTGAAAGCATCATGGAAGAAGCTTAGCTCACACCTGATGCTAACTAATAAAGATGACTTCAGTCTTCATCCAACCTTTGTAAGCTTCGAAGGAAGGTAGGAAAACATGTAAGAAGTCTCTGGAAAAGGTAACTCAAAACAGTGTCAGTGTATAAAGATATACACTTGGTCATTTTAAAAACTCACTTACGAGAACTACCTTATTCCCTAGGTTGCCTCATAAAGCTGTTAAAAAAATATATGAGACATTGCTGGGCGTGGTGGCTCACCCCTGTAATCCCAGCACTTTGGGAAGTTGAGGAGGGCAGATCACCTGAGGTCAGGAGTTCGAGACCAGCCTGGCAAACATGGTGAAACCCCATCTCCACTAAAAAAATACAGAAATTAGCCAGGTATGGTGGCAGGCAGGAGAATTGCTTGAGTCTGGGAAAAGGAGGTTGCAGTGAGCCGAGATTGAGCCACTGCACTCCAGCCTGGGCAACAGAGTGACACTCTGTTTGACAAAAATATATATATGTGTGTGTGTGTGTCTGTGTGTGTGTGTGTGTGTGTGTGTGTGTGTATACATGTATTTATATGATATGATGTGAGACATTGTCAGTTGGAAGAGGTCTGATTTAGAATGGGCAGTTCCTCCTGAACCTATTTAGGTGCATACATCCAGCAGGAAAGAAATCAGGCTTCAATAAGATAAATCAAGATCTAAAAGTCAAGTTGAAAGGACCTTAGAGATCATGTAGCCAAGACCCTGGCAAAAAAAAGTTAGGTGACTAGAGGGCATCATTCATCTCACTGTAGAGGGGGCACTACCGCCAGTCTTGTATTTGAGAGCCGGAATATTATCCTCCACATCACAATTTCCTAGGCCAACTCACAACCCTCTCCATCCCTTCCCAAGCCTTCAGGTTGGCCCACAGGCCTGATGCACTCACCTGCAGAAAGCAGTGTCCAACCGGGGCATGCTCTGCAATGGTGGCATTGTACACCTGCCTCCAGAAGATGGGCTCATTGTCATTCACATCATCTACGGTGATGCTCACCAGGCAGGTGGCAGAGAGTGGGGGCTCTCCGAGGTCCTGGGCCACCACTTTCAGCTCCACCGCCTCCTGGACCTCTCGGTCTAGAGTCCGGATAGTGCTGATCGCACCGCTTTCGGAATCAATGGCAAAAGATGGTCCACACTCTGCGGTGTGGACCATCTTTGATTGCAGGGAGCCGAGATTGCAGGGAGCCGAGAGTTGGACTACAGTGTAGCGCAGCCAGGCGTGATCACTGCCTGCCTCGTCGGCATCGGAGGCGCTGACCCACATGACTACAGTGCCAGGGGCCGCGGCCTCGGACACTGAGGCCTTGTAATGCTGTTGGCTGAAGAGAGGTGGTTGGTCATTGAGGTCAGCGACCCGGAGTAGCAGCGTCTCCTCCGTGCTCAGCGGCGGGGACCCCGCGTCCGTGGCCACCAGTAGTAACTCATACAGATCGCGGCTCTCTCTGTCCAGGGGCCCCTCCACGCAAAGGAAAAATACCCCTGGGGGGCCGCCGGGTAGCAACGCGAAGTCTCCCTCTCCGCCTTCCAAGGACAGAGAGATGCTCCCGTCTCCAAGACCCACACCAAGCTCCCCTGTGGCCTCATCTTCCTTCTCCCAGTCACCGTCCGCGTCAGACACCGAGACGCGAGCCACGTAGTCGCCCGGTCGGGCGCCTTCAGAGACACGGGCGACGCCTCCCTCTGTGAGAAAGAGCACGTGAATTGCTGGCCGGTTGTCATTCACGTCCAGCACGGCGATGGACACGCGCACCGTGGCAACCTCAGGCTCGGCGCCTCCATCGCGGGCCTCCACCACCAACTGGTGCCAGGCCTGTGCCTCGCGGTCCAGAGGTCTCCACACTCGCACCACGCCGCTCAGCTCCTCCACCGCGAAGTAGGCCGCGTCGCCCAGTGCCCCGCCGCCGCTACCCGCCCCAGGCACTTGCCGGGCGCGGACGCTGTAGCGCACGAAGCCATTGGGCCCCAGGTCGCGGTCGGTGGCGCGCACGCGACAGACCTCGGCGCCCGGCTGGGCGTCCTCGCGCACCGCGGCGCGGTACTCGTCCTGCTCAAAGACCGGCGGGTTGTCGTTCTCATCCAGCACGCGCAGCTCCACGCTCAGGAGGCCGGTGCGCCGGGGTCGGCCGCCGTCCCATGCCTCGATCTGCAGCCGGTGCGCCGCCGCCTCCTCTCGGTCCAAGCGCCGCAGCAGCACCAGATCTAGAGGCTCCAGGGGTGACGAGGAGCCTGGCAAAAGCGGTGACGGTAGTGGCCCCGGAGTCCGGTAGCGCAACTGGAAGAACGGGCCTGCGGGGTCCTTGGGCAGGTCGGACGGTTGCACCAGGGTGTAGCCCTGAGTGCTGAACAGTCCGGCGTCCGGATCGTGGGCAACTGGCAGGCGGAAGGCGGTCCCTGGCGGGCTGAGCTCGGAGACGTCGAGTTGCAGGGAGTCGAGGGGAAAGCGGGGCGAGTGGTCATTCACGTCGTTGACGCGAATCTCCACCTGCACCACAGCGCCCAGCAGCGTGGCGGCGACGAAGCTGTAGTGGTCCCGCCGCTCGCGGTCCAGGCGCCGCGCAGTGCGGATGATGCCGGTGTCCGGGTGCACGTGGAAGTCGTCCAGCAGCGGGGAGTCATCGGAGTCCTCCGACAGAAAGAAGCCGCTCCCCTCCTGCTGCTGCGCGGCCGGCAGCCCGGCGCGGATGTCACCTACCAGCGTGTCCGGGGGAAGCCCCTCATCTACGGAAAGGGTGAGGTTGAACAACTGGGCAGAGGAGCCCGAGGCCGCCCACAGCCACACGTGCACCAAGAGCCAGAGCAGGGAGCGCTGCGTCCTGGCGCCGCTGCTGCCTGACCGCCCATGGGGTGTATCTCTCCTCCCGGGGAGCAGAAGGAGCTTCCCGACCGGAGCCCGCCGCTGCTGACGCCCTTCGCCCATCTTCCGCCCACAAGGGCTCATTTCTCCTCCAGCTCCTTGGGAAGGCTCTCGGGTAACTGCCAGCTTGTGGCAGGATCGCAGAAAAATCCAGGAGCCTCTTCAGTGTCTGAGCCAGAGAAGAAAAGACTTTGTTTGGCAAACAAACCGACGGCCCAGGAATTCCCGAGGTTACATCTGCAACTGGTGAAAGCGTCCTCTGCCTGCAGCTCACGCAGACAGGGAAGTAAGCTCTAGCTGCCTCTGCCGCGGCAGCCACCTCTTCTGCCCCTGGATTTCTTTAAACGAATCTCATCTCTTTTTCTCTCTCCTTTTATTCCCTTTACATCTGTTCCTTGTTCTACTCGGCTGGTTGTTCCCCCCTGGTAAAGTCAGGTGCATTATTTCTTTTGCCAAAAAGGAGGAGATTATATGAAGCGCGCACACACAAGGAGAGGATGGGGATCTGGCCGGAGTAGGGGGTGGAGTAAGGGCGTGGAGGCAGGGAGTCAGGGCGCTGGGGAGGAGGGAGAGAGGGAGGGGGGAAGGGAGGTCTGCGGCCCTGTCCGCTGCTCCGGGGGCGGGGCGGTGGTTCCCCACTGTGTCTCCGGGCGCCAGGGACCGCGCGACTCCTGCTCCGACCCAGCCTCCGCCGCCTGCCTTCCCCTCCCTGCCGTGTGATGCGGCGCACACGAGGGCAAACTCCAACCTGCGAGCCGCGCTCTGCAGCAGGGCGGAAGAGGAGCAAATGCAAAAGCACTGGGAGACGTGCACCGCGGGGCGGGTGGGGGACGCGCAGGCGGGGCGTCTGCCTGGGCTTGGCCAAGTGCCAAGTGATGATGGGTGCGGGGAGGTGAGAGGAGCGGCCTCTCCGCGGCCTCCCCCTCCATCCGCTTGACCGTCCCTCTGCAGGCCTGACTCTTGGCTCGCGCTGAGCCAAGAGGGTAGAGGTTATCATCACTTTGGGGTGCCAAACTTGTGTTCTCCATTTGGCGAGAGGGACTCCCGTCCGCAGCGGAAGGACAGATGGAGTCAAAGGCCGATGCATAGCTGGGGCCAGGATGGCTTTAAAGGGGAGAAGGCGGAACTTGGAAAAGCCTTCCAGAAAACCCGAGAAATCTGTGGCACACATGGTGCAAACCACACTTTATTATGCGTGCTACTACCCAGCGACGTGTGAGCCTCTTGTCACTCCCCTCTGCCACCAGGAATGACGACAATATATCCGCCCTGAGAACCCTTTTTCTACATTCAGCGCCATCATAACACTTCCAGGATGTCTGACGATGCTGACTGATGAGCAGAAAGCCCTGGTGGCTGACACCCCGCAAGCCCTCAGCGCTCCCCCACCACCCCTAGGCAAGGAAGTGTGCAAGCGGGATAACTCTACGGATACCACTTTCAAAACTAGCTTCTGTCTGAGCCGAACGCAAATGCCAATAAATAGCCATAGTCGCAGATTTCCCTTCAATTAACTATAATAATCGGTAGAAACTGATCAATGGCCTCTAATAAAGTACGCCTGAGAAAAGACTCTCTGGACTCTTAAAAATGGCTGACCATATTTAGCAAGTGGTTTCTGCAATTTTGCATTTGGGCCTGAGAGAAGAATTAATTTCCTAGATACCGTTTCTCTCCTTTAGGGAGGACCAAAAGCCCTGCATAGTGGTTTCTTGCAGCAACAACAAAATGCCTTTTTAAATGTGCAACGGAGGTGTATGTAATTGCTAATCCAC